>NC_000003.12:83646363-83949393 GCF_000001405.40 Homo sapiens | reverse complement strand
AATGACACTGAAAATATATTAATGGTTTTACATACATTGATACAGGTAGATTGAGAATCACTGAACAAGCAAAGGTTCTTCACAAGCAACACCATTTTTTGCATAGACATCTTTTATTTGCCAGTCATTTATTAGATGCAAATTTTAAACTTAGATGTCTGCACTAGCACATTTATTCATTTTAGCCAATTTGCTAAAGTAAGCTATAAAATTAGGTTGTAATCTGAAAATTGCATTAGCTCTCAATTATTTGCATACTAATGCTAAGAAACGAATGTTAATCCACTTTTATTTTTTATGATTTCAACATTTTCATACATGCCTACTGCTGCAACATTTGTAACTATACAATTTGTTCTTGGAAAGCTGGCAAATGGCTGTCTTCCAAAAGTTCTTGCCAATACAAATTAATACATACCATAAGAAGTACCCCCAGTGGTATAAAAATGCAGTCTCTTGGTAGTTTTTTCAGAAGAAGCCTGCAGGAAAATTGAATAGCTCTGGCTCCCATACAGCAGACATGAAAACATTTTTGTCTTTAATGTTGTCTCTGATAGTATGTACTGATTCACTCTAAAGTATTCTAGTTTCTATTTTGAAAGGGAGAATTTAAAAAGGCATTCAATGTGCAGATATATGTATGTATGTGTGCTTGTGAACACAAATGCGTACAAAATAGTTATATCTACGTATCTATCTCTAGTCTTAATAATATATTTTAGCTCACATATAAAACTCATATACTCTTGTTCTTCAGACTAAGAAAAAAATCTGATTAAAATATATTAACATACAATTTTAAAGTTATAAATGGTTTTCTTCGAATAACAAGTTTTCTACTTGTGTGAAAAATTATTACAAAAATGTTTTTTTATATATAATAAGCCTTCTGTTTTAGAAAGATAAAAATTTACCCATTTATAAACTGATAAAAATACAGTAAGATAAATTGTAAAGTCATAAGTGAATTTTTATATTAAAATCATCTAAAATGCTTTAAAAATGAACAAGTAGTCTTTTTCGCCCGAAATCTCATAGCATGCAGAGACTCAGAGACACCCACATACATACAACTTCATAAAATGTGTAAAACTATTTTTTAAAAAGAGGATTCTTGTGGGATATATACATGGACACTTCAAAAAATAAAACATCTTATTTTTCTTAAGAAAAAGAAGAGGCTTTGGAAACCTCATGGAATATGACAGTATTTTGACACCATCGGGATATAATTTTAGTTGTTTACATAAAACATTTTTTAGTTAAATTCTACATTTCTTGTAATGCAGTTTACATTTTATTAGAAGCAGAGAGGGATATTATAGACTTGCTTCTTGCCACCTAATTTCTTTCTTATTTCCCACAAACTTATGCTAAGCTACCTCAGCATCAACCTCTCTGATTTAAATTTAAATCCTAATAAATAGATCCATAGGGTAATATAAAAGCCAAAGGCAATGATGTTATTAATCACCTTCGTTGTAACTATATTTGCCAGGATTATTTTAGAATATGTATTTTCTTTTTAGATATCCATCACCTTAGCATAAGCATCTTACTCTCTCACTTAAATACACTTGCCACAGATGTATGTGACTACTCAATACTGTTTATTCATATTTATTATTTTTTCAGAAGACTGTTCTCTGATGCCCTGTTTTTAGGATACTAGAAGCATTTTGGCTGACAACTCTCCTTTCTCTGGACATTCCTCTTTTACCCACTCTTTGCCAAGTTATGTCTCAAGGTCATTTCAAGTATCTAGACTTAGCTGACAAATCAATGAGACTGCAAAGGAAGGGACATGTATATATTGTAAATAACATCATTGATGTGAATAAATTTATTTTTGTGTATTTGTTTATGTGGAAAAATAATAGCTGATATGTTTCATAAGCATTAGCTTATTTTGTTTATAAAAAAATCCATGTGCTTGATGTTTTTAAAAATGTGTTTTCCTGAATTCAATATTTCTTTCTAGTAAAGAGTGGATTAAAGAAACTGCTTCTTAGAAAGTGAAAATATAAATAGAATGTAGTGTTCTCATCTCCCCCTCTTTTCGATATGATTGATGATAACATTCCCTAGCATCATAAAGAATAATTGAGATGTAATTATGAAACACATGACTTGTCTTTTCTAATGATTCAAATCATATCAATTAAAAGCACAAAATTTAAAGGTCAGTATATTGTTTACAGTACTCCATTAGTTCAATCAATACTTATTAGTTTTTAATTAGTCACATTAGATCAATCAAATATTTACTGTGTCTACACTAATGTAGATAACCTCCAGCAAGCTGCTGATAGGAAAGTTCTAGCTTTCATGTTTCTTCAATTCTAATGAGAGGGGCAGACACAAAATAACACAGAGATATGTGATGTGTCGGGTGATGAAATTTGTAGTGATGAAGCAGTACCTGTAAGACCTGAATGTAGTCAGGCAGCAAAATACATAGGAGATAGGTAAGAAAAGGGAACTGCTGAGGTAAAGGCTCTGTGTTAGCTTCCTGAGGGTACTGTAGCAAATTCCTTCAAACCGGGTGCCTTAAAACAATAAAAATTTATTCTCTTGGGGTTTTAGTGGCCAGCGTCTTAGATGAAAGTTTCTGCAGGGCCACACTCCCTCTGGAGGCACTAGTAGAGAATTCTTCCTTATGTCTTTCAACTTCCTTGTTTCCAGCTGCATTGCTCCAATCTCTTGCCTCTGTCTTCACACTGCCTTCTCCTCTGCCCCAGAGTCTCAGAAGAACCATGGCCGTGCTGATACATGGATTTCTGACTTCTAGCCTCCAGAATTGTGAGACGAGTTTCTGTTGTTTTAATCCACCCAGTTTTCTGATACTTTGTAAAGCAGTTTGAGCAAATTAATACAGGCAGGTTACTGAACTAGGTGTAGGTAAATCTAGAGCTCTAAAGAACACATGTAACCATTAGAGACTGTTTAGGTGCATGCAATAGAAAACTCAAATAACAACTTTTCTTTTAAATATATATATATTTTAAAGCTTTATCACATAAGAGGTCCAGGGCTGTTATGATGGCTCCAGTTTTTCATTAAGTACTCAGGGTAATTCTATTTTTACATTCTCCATAGGGTGTGGTCCTTATCCACTTGCTTGTAGGATAGCTGCCAAGTTTAAATGACACACTTCATTTTAGTATGCTGAAAACAGAAAAGAGCAAGTACAAACCAGGGGTGCCACTTGGACTTACTACCATTGTAGAACATTCCTGAAAGCACCATGTAAACATTTCTGGTTATATCTTGTCAGCTTCCATCTTACCTCTCTATATAAGGCATAATAGGGAATGTAATTCTGGGGATAATCACTATGCCACTCCAAATAAAAACAAAATTCTGTTACTGAAAAAAAAAGTAGAATGGGTGTAAATTGACATTGGGTAGCCTCTGCATATTACAATAAGAATTTGGAATTTTAACAATAGAAAAAATTTCTGATGATTTTCAACAGAGGATGCCAAAACTTGAGCTGTATTTTCAAAGGTTTACTCTGTATTGTTGGATGCAGACCATAAAGGAATAAGGGTAACAACAAGGAGACCAGTTCAAACATGGAGGCCAACATCAAACATGCTGGGAGCTTAGCCTAAGATGCCCACAGCCTAGGTGAGGAAGAATGGTAGGATTCAAAGCATATCTCTATGATAAAGTTGACAAGATTTGAATTAAGATACTTGCTAGAAGGTGGAGTCAAAGATGACTGCAAGATATTTTGTCTGATAGACTGGAAAATTGGAATGGCTAAGCACTTACTGAGATAGGCAGATACTGTGAAACAAACAAGTTTGATGGTAGAAGTCAAGAGGTTTGCTTTGTAATGTTGTTTGAGATGCTAGTTACAATTCTAAACATAGATTTTCAATTAAAAGAAGAATTTATGAGTCTGAAATTTAGAAGTATATCAGGATTGAAAATCTATATTTAGGAATCATTATATAATAGATTTTTTTGCTTATTTATGTTGTAAAAATGTCAGTATGATAAAACAAATGTCAATTTGCAAAAATATAAATATAAAAGTTTAAGTTACTCATATTATCATCATTAATGTTTTAATAATAATTTTCCAGAATTCTCTATGTATGTATTAAGGTATGCATATAAAATAGATTATTATATAGTACACATGCAGAAACTTGTTTTCTTATAAGTATATAACTTACAGTTGTCATATAATAATGATTATAAAAGGATACATTATGCAGCAAAAGGGCTAAACTCTCTTTGAAAACCAGACTAGAAAAAAATCTTATTATATGAAAACTTGGCTTATTAAAAAGTGCTTAAATTTGATATTATAAAATTCAGATCATATTATATTTCTGAAGGTAGTTATTTAATCTGAAAATAAGATTGTCATGGTTTTCTTCACCTTACCTTTATGACTACTGCTCTCTATGACTTTCCATTTTGAATTGTATTTGAGGGTTGGTCTTTGTTTACTTGGTTGTGTTTTCTATCCTTGGTGTTTTCTTATGTTGTCCTGTACAAGGTAGATTTTCAAGCAGTTAAGGTCTTCACAATTTATCTTGGGAGCTAAAACACTTCCTTCTGCCATTTTGGATTTTCTACTTAGCAGGAGGGTTGGAGTTTGTGATTTCTTTGTAGCTCATGGCAGTTGATCCTCAGTAGTAGCAAATGCTAACAGCAGCCTTAAAACTTGAAAAGATTATTGTCTGTATTCAGAAATGCCTTTTCATATGAAAACAAGTCTTCTGAATACTACAGATAGCTACAGGGATTTAAGCTGTAGTTCAAATAATCCAAATATAGTAGCCAGAAACCATGAAGGTGGTATAAAGGAAACATTAAGAGTCCTTCATAAACATTTTTCTTTATTTCCTATAAAAGAAAGTCTTATAATAATAATCAGCCAAAAATGTAAGTATGCATCAATGTGGTGATGTAAACTGCACCATTATAAAAATACTTATTATTTATTTGTATGCATGAAGTTTTATTTTATTTAAATAAAATTTAAAAATAAGTTATTTGTACTAAATTTAATATGAAATTCAATTTAACCTCAGAGATTCTGTACAAGTGAGCAAGTATGGGTGTTTGCCTTGTCCATCTTGTCCACAATGGAATATATTTCTTTTGTTAAAATAATACAAGCATAATTTTCAAACTAATAATTTGAAGATATGTATCTCCACTGATTTAACACATTCATGTCATGCAACTAAAATGTAAAATAAATCAGGTGATTATTTTACTTGCCTGTTCTACATACATTTGAACAAGTCACTTGATCCCATTTGGTTTCCAATTTATAAAGTAAAAAATATTATCAATAATAATTAGATATCTTCAGTGAGAATTCTATAGGAGTCCTTAAAGTTACATTGACTTTTCAGGTGTCTACATTTCAGTAGGGACATTTAGCAGCGATGTTGTTGGTCCTGTATGATGAATCAAATTTTATTTTTGGATTATGAGTGTCAAATATGTCATTTGAAAACCTTCTTGAATGTTTTTATGGTTTAGAAATAGAAACAGTGATTACTGTCCTAAAAATGTGGATGCTGCTTATTATTGTTGTTATCATTGTTACTAAACATCAATGTTGCCTATAAGGCATAACAAAGTCAGCAAAGTCAATGACCAATTAGAAAAATGACTGGACAACTGAGAAATACTAATAGGAAAACTAGTACCTAAACATTGTAACTAACAGTAGATCTGAAATAGTATTTCCAGATAACCTAAGGCCTGTGAAATAAATGATTTCTTTTGATATATGAATAAATATGACTATATTTATTTCTTTTCTTTTTTTTGTGAATTTGAGTGACAAATTATGATCATGGTGGATTTAAATCAATGAAGGAGAAAAACAACAAAATATAATGAGAAAGGAATCCCAAATCCCAAATCAAAGTCATTTTAGAATTGGCAAGCTCAAATCCAATGATCATTTTAAAGATCATATATGAAACAAAAAAAAAATTCAATCATTTTCTTCCCAGTAGATCACTTTAGTATAAACAGGACTTAGAATTTATACTTTAATTACTAAGTAGATCTTAGCTTTCCCATTCTAGCTTCTTTTTAAATATTGAAAGCACCACTATTTTTCTCCGTATCCTAAAGTTTAGATTTGTAAAACATCCCTCCGGTTACATTTTTTCTTCGTTTTTATTCTATATCATGTAAATATTTAATGTATCTGTGTATCCGAATGGTCTTTTTTTTTTTTTTTTTTTTTTTAAACAAGGTCTCACTCTGTCACCCAGGCTGCAGTAGTGCAGTGGTGCAAGCACAGCTCACTGCAGCCTGGACCTCCCAGTGCTCAGGTGATCCTCTCACCCCAGTCTCCTGAGTAGCTGGGGCCACAGACGCATGACGCTACACCCAGATAATTTTTGTATTTTTTTTGTAGAGACAGGGTTTGGCCATCTTGACCAGGCTGGTCTCAAATTTCTGGGTTTGAGCGATCTGCCTGCCTCTGACAGGGACAGAAGGCAGGGGAATTCTGGGCAGAATTTCTGGAACCACGGCCCAAAGTGAGAACATACATTCTTGTTTTCCTGCTCAAATTTTGCCTTTTCCAAAACCACTGATGGCCTACCCCACCCCCATCCTGTGCATATAAAAACCCTGGGTTCCACTAGAGGAGGAGAGAGGAGACGCAGCTGGATGTTGGAGACTGTGGTTGGAGAGAAGTGGCTTTATTTCAGAGGGACAACTTAACTTATTGGCATAGCTTCAGAGAGGAGTCTAGCCAGGGATGGCTGGACTCCAGGGGAAGATTAGCTTCCTGTTACATCCCCTTTTCAGCTCCCCTTCCTGCTGAGAGTCACGTTCATCAGCAATAAAATCCCTTGCGTTTACCATCCTTCAAATTCGTTTGCGCAACTTCATTCCTCCTGGATGCCAGACAAGAACTCAGTTGCAGGTGCAGAAGGCTGTCAAACTGACCTTCCACTGAGCTGTCAACACGACCATTTGCAGATGGCAAAGCTAAAAGAGAATAACACTGACTGTAACACTCCTTCTGGGGCTTCAAGGGTCACAGACACCCCGCTAGATCCTAATGCAGGGCCAGTACGGAGTTTGTTCCTGCCGGAGCCAAAAAGCCCTCACCCCAGCTCCTGCACCAGCTCACATGTATGCTTTCTCCTGTGAGGGGATGAGCACAGAGGGTTTGAGTGAGTGGAGTTCTCTCTCTGGTGCCAAAGCCATTGGCTAGTTCTAGCGCTCACATTCCAGTTCTCACCCACTAAGGGGTCAGGGAAATGTCCTGTTTCACGTCAGCCTCCCAAAGTGCTAGGATTACAGGCATGATCCACCATGCCCAGCTTGAATCACCATTTTCACAGGATAAAACATCAAGTTACAACAACAACTTCTTCATTTCTATCATGAATACACTTTAAATGGTCCCAATATGTCAATGAATAATATGGGACAATATCAGGGCAGTATATTGGTATGAGCAGAATTGTTCCCCTCCCTCCAAATGCATATGTTGATGTCCTAATCTCCAGTACTTCAAAAAGTGACTGGATTTAGAAACAGGACCTTTAAACAGACAATTATGGTAAAATGAGGTTATGTTTGTGGGCCCTAATCCAGTATGTCTGATATCCTTAAAATAAGTAGAAATTTTGACACAGATACAGAGGAAAGATGATGCGAAGACAAAGGGAAAAGACACACATCCACAAGCCAAGAGAGAGGCCTCAGAATAAGATAAACTCTGCTAACACCTTGATCTCAGACTTCCAGCCTTCAAACTGTGAAAAAATAAATTTCTGTTGTTAAAGCCTCCAGTGTGTGGTATTTCTTATGATAACCCACAAACTAATACATTCAATTATCTTAAATAAAACAAGTTTACTAAAAACTGCTTATCTGTATACAAAGTTCACGATGGAAAACAAAAGAATTCATAGTAGGATGTTTGAGGAATGATAAGGGCAAAGGGGTGATGTCATTTCCTAACAATCTTTAGCTATGCTCATTTTTATTATTAGATCTAAATTCTTAATATTAAAATATATTACTGTAATAATATCTATTATTATATATTATAATCTAAATACTTAGGCTATGTGACTTGAATGCTTAAATAATTTTAAGCACTGTCAAACATTATAATGGAAAAATTTTTACCCTCTGCAAAGATTAGTGTTTTTAGATATTGATTCTACTCAGATGATGGTTGACATGACATACTCATATTGATCATATTTTCAAGAACTTGATAATCAATCTTATAAAACATCATTTGTGATTCAGGCAAGATCTTGTTGTGGTAAAAATATTTATAATCTGCTTAATAGCTCTTTACCAAAGGTTTTTTTTTGTTAAGTTTCTATAATAAATGTCCATATCTACTGATTTTGAAGATGAAGATAAACATGAGTAGAGTAGAAAAATAATGAAACAAAACCAAAGCGGTCAGAGTTCTTATTTTTGGTAACAGTATCTGGATGCATTTATGTAGGCCAATTATTCCATGATTTTATTCTGTCTCCTTATCTGCAAATAAAGAATTAAAGTGTATGTTTTATTCCTTTCAGTTCTAAATCCTATTATCTATGGTTTGTTACATAGGTCAGTAAACTTTTCCTGTAAACAGCTAGATAGTAATTATTTTCAGTTTTGTGGGTCATGCAATCTTTTTTGAAAATACTCAACTCTGCTCAATTCTGCTGTCACAGTGTAAAATTAGCTATAGATAATATATGGAGAAATGAGCATGGCTATGTTTTATAAAACTAAATATAGGCCAGATTTGGTCTATATGCTTTAGTATGCTGATCACTACTTAATGAGCTTTACATACCATGCAACCTCCCCACACCTAGTCAAACAAAACAAACACGTGCATCTACAAAAGGGAAATAAAGCCCATGATCCATGTGTCATTGGTAAATATGTACAGTGGAAATTTGTCTTATACTTGATTAGGCAAGTTATAAAATAGTAAATTCAAAATAATAATAAATATAAGTAGTAACAAATATACTTAGTCACACTTCATCATGTAATTATAACTTAAAGTACAAATGAAATAATGTTTGTCAATATGTTTAGTAAAAATTAAAAATTGTGAATACTACTACTTCTCTAGCACTGTAGGAAAAACAAACTGTCATAGATTGCTTTCAAAAGAGTAATTTATAATAGCCTTCTTGAAAAGCAATATAATTAGTTATTAAAATTAAAAATAGATGTTAACATTGAGCAAATCACTCAAAAAGAAGCTGATAACATCAATATTCTCCCAATTATAAAATAAATTGAATGTATAGTTTAACATTTTCTATTACAAAAAAAATCATACCCAGATGTGTTATGTTTAAAAGGGCTATTAGACTGTGGTTTTATTTCTTGTATTATCTTGATCTGATTTTGGCATTAAAATAATGAGGATCTCTTAAAAATATATGGGAAGTATTTCTTCGTCTTCTAGGTGTTGTATCTTCTGTATGTAAATAGATAGACATACCATATATGTGTTGGAAAATTCAGTTCTCCTCAAAGTGATATGTAGATTCAAAGCAAAACCAATAAAAACATGATAGTTTTTATAGCTATTTACAAGCTATTTCTTACATTTCTGTAGAAAGACAAAGAAATATCCAAAACAATCTTGGAAATAAAAAACAAAGCTGGAGGACTCACACTACCTGATTTCAAAACCTAATGTGAATGTCACAGTAATCAAGACAATGTGATACTAGTGAAAGGACAAAGGCAATGGAATAGAAGGGTGTGTTCAGAAATAGACCCACGCAAGGCCAGGCACGGTGACTCACACCTGTAATCCCAGCACTTTAGGAGGCCAAGGTGGGTGGATCACAAGGTCAGGAGATGGAGACCATCCTGGCTAACATGGTGAAACTCTGTCTCTACTGAAAATACAAAAAAAATTAGCCAGGCGTGGTGGCGGGCGCCTGTAGTCCCAGCTACTCGGGAGGCTGAGGCAGGAGAATGGCGTGAACCCAGGAGGTGCAGCTTGCAGGGAGCCGAGATCGCGCCACTGCACTCCAGTCTGGGCAACAGAGTGAGACTCCATCTCAAAAAAAAAAAAAAAAAAAAAAAAAAAAAAAAAAAAAAAATAGACCCACACAAATATGATCAGTTTGTGTAATTTTTTAAACAAAATTGTATAGAACTGAAAGGTCCTTCTTGAGATTCTTTATGAAACCAATTTTGTTATCTCCCCTTCCAAAAGAAAGAGCTAGGAGGGGGGAAAATGCATTAGTCCGTTCTCGTACTGCTGTAAACACATACCTGATATTGGGTACTTTATAAAGAAAAAACATTTAAGTGGCTCACAGTTCTGCCTGCTGTACAGGTTTGTGCTTTTGGTAAGGACTTGGGAAACTTACACTCTCCCTTTGGGCTCTATCTCTGTCTCCGGTTCTTCATGCACTGATGTGGTTGTGGGAGAGGCAATGAATGCAGGGGATGCAGCTCACAGCCTTTTCTTCCTTGAGTTTGTTGTTCTTTTTTGTGCGCTTCTTATACTTTTTTTTAAAAAAGTCTTGCCTTTTTAAATTTTTTTTTCTTTAAACTTTGGTTGTGGTTCAAATTCTCTGGTAGTGGTAGGCTTGGAGTTGGGCTTTTAGCCTTTCTCACTGGTACAGTAAAAACGACTGTATAGCTGCTAATGGGTGACTTAGACTAAACAGGGCTGAAGATTCCTTTGTTTTGTTTTTTGGTTGATGAATCATAAAATCCCTAAATAAATATAGAGTATGAGGCTCTCCTTACAGACTAAGAGCTTGCTGAGGCTGTTTTGTTTTTGTCTTTTTGGGTTCTGGAATCATGGATCTAGTACTTGGAGATGTGGTACCATGCTGCTGCTGATCCTCTTAGGAGAGGGGTCAAGTGGGAGAAGAAAGAGGGAAAGGGCTTAAGGTGATCTGAGGAGCTCCAGCTTGTAGTGATGGCACATATCATTTGTTTGCTTATGATGATGAGGCCTCCTGGATAAATCAGCTCAGAAAAGGATCTCTCTTATATTTTGATAATAAAGAAGGCAAATATTCCTGAGGGACTGGGAAGCTTCTCTGAGAGGTGAAGAGTGGGAGATCTTGAATTTCTGCTGTGCAGACTGTGATTTCCTTCATTTAAGAGACAGTTTGAAAGTATGGTATTGAGGCATGAGGAGTTTTGGATAAGGGAGTTGCTGGAGGTAACAGCCAGTGCATTTACCTTTGAGGACTTGCTAAAGAAGATAA
This sequence comes from Homo sapiens, assembly GCF_000001405.40. Taxonomy (NCBI): domain Eukaryota; kingdom Metazoa; phylum Chordata; class Mammalia; order Primates; family Hominidae; genus Homo; species Homo sapiens. The sequence goes on along the minus strand of NC_000003.12, from coordinate 83,938,162 downwards.
TCTGCTAGCTTTTCCTGGAGTAGATTTTTTCTTGGAAGGTTTATTTGGTGATGACCTGGAGGAGATGAGGAGGACAATGAGCTGCTTCCAGTTAAGGATATTGACATCTCACTGGAGATCTTCATATTTTATGCCTCCATAGAGAAAGCATTTGTCTTTGGTAAAGTTATCTTTTGAGGAATTGCCACCTTCTTGAACTAGGTCACCTCTTAGGCAGATGTGATCTTCATTAAGATCAATGGCCCTGGTGCAGGTGAGTGTGAAGAAAAAAAAAACAGCTACAATATATCTGGAATCCCAATTTGGAACATGACTGAATGATTTTTTTTTTTTTTTTGTCATTTTCTGTTTCAATTTTTTTCCAAGAGAATATTCTCTACACTCTGACACAGGTTTAGGTTTGGAAACCTTTAGACTATCACTAATAGAGGTAGCCTCTTGCACCAAATTTTGTTTTTACTTTCAATGCAGGTTTTGAGTATGCTGGATTTCTCCTCTTTAGAAACAAAAGGACTCTCCAGCTCTTGGTTCTGTGAAAAGAAGATCAAGAGTAAATGCCCTGTCTCTGTTTCCTGACACAGAAAGATGGGCTGATAGGGGAAGACAATCTGGATTAGTATCTTCTTAGGCTTCTAGAACTGTTTTATTTTTTAATTGCTGCTTTCCTTCTTTTCCTTTTTTGTCTTATGTTTGTCTTCATCTTCCTTTTTTATAGACGCAAAATGTCTTGGTCAATCTACACCTGTTTTATTTATTTTTCTTTGATTTCTTTGAAAGTAAAATGGATCCCAGACATTTTTTTGTGTGTATATAACAGCACTAGATATAGTTCTCCAATAAATTTTCTAGCATTTTAATTAAAAAATCCAGTCAGATTGATTTGCATTATTTTGGAATTTGGAGTCTTCACCTACAACTGGTTGAATATAAATTCAATCACAATGTCATTTTGAAATTTAGAAATTGATTTTATTCATTTTGCTATCCAATGCTTTATCACCTCCAAATTTACTTTGCACAAGTCCATTTTTTTCCTGAGTATTATGTAACTTTAAGCTGCTTCAGTAGCTTCTTCTATTTGTTGTTGAACCAAATATTCTGTTCTGTGTTTCTTCCTTTAGGGATTCACCCCAGCCTTCCCTAGAGAGAAGGCTTCTTCTCTCCCGTAGTCCCCAGGCCAGGTGGAACAACCAGTGCTCTGGTTGAAGACCTCTACAGGTAGACAGGTGGCAAGATACTGCTTGGGCCCATTTTCTTCATCATTTTCTGGTGATACTTTACTTCATGTAGGTGAGTTCATTCTTGGCATAGATGCAAAAGAATTTCAATTAGGAATTGATAATATTTTTAAACAGCTGGTGGTAGAACAATTGAATATCCATAAATGGATGACTTTGTTTTCTGCTGCTTATAACCAGATTCCTGAAACAGGGTAGTTTATAATGAAAGGAATTTGTTTCTTACAGTTACACAGGCCAGGAAGTTCAAAGTCCAGGGGGTGCATCTGGAGACAGCATTCTTACTGGTGGGGACTCTGCTGCATCCTGAGGCAGTGCAGGGCATGATATTGCAAGGGGACTGAGCTATTCATATGATACAGTGCTAGCTCAGGACTGAGTGTGCTACAATGCTACCATGTTAGCTTGGCTTAGGTCCTTCTTCCTCTTCTTACAAGGTCACACACTGCACTCCCATAGTAACTCATTAATCCATTAACCCACTAATCTATGAATACCTAAATAGATTAATCCATTCATGAAAGTAGAGCCCTCATGATCCAATCACTTCATAAAGATCCTACCTCTTAATACTGTCACATTGGAAGTTAAGCTTCAATATGAGCTATGGAGGGGACATTAAACCACCACATTCCACCCCTTGTTCCCCAAAGCTCATGTCTTTCCCACATTCATTCCATCTTCATAAAGTCAAAGTCTTAACATAGTCTAGCACCAACTCAGAAGTCAAAGACTCATCTGTGAACCTCTGAAATCAAAATAATGTATCTAGATTACAAGATACGCTGATAGGAAAAGGAGAGGTTTTTTTTCCATTCCAAGAGGGAGAAAAAGGCAAGAAGAAAGGGGTACCAGTTTTAAAACAAGTCTGAAGCACCCTGTACCAGGGCCCCCAAAGCCTTGGGTATCCCTGCCCCATTTAAATTTGCTGGCCTCAGTCCACTCAGCTCTTCCAGGCTGGTATTGGATACTGGTTGCTCTACAGCTTTGGATTCTTGGTGGCTTTCCTGCTCTCACGTTTCCACTGGATTTTGCCTTAATAGAAACTCTGCAGCAGCTCCAACCCTACATTTATGTTCAGCATTGCTCTAGCAGGGGCTCTCTGCAGTGCTTGAGTCCCTACACGTCTCTTCCCTGTACCCCTATTATTTTGATGACATCTTTTGAAATCTGGGTACAGGCTGCTAAGCATCCACAGCTCTTGCTTTCTGCACATTTGCAGTATTAGCACACGGTGAATGCCACTAAGGTTTATGATCTGCTTTACAGAGCTGCAGCGTGAGCCACACCTGGGGCTGTATCATGGCTGGAGCAGCCACTGGGTGCTGTGCTGGAGTGTGGGGTTCCAGGAGCAGAGAACTGAGGCAGCTCTGGGTAGTGAGCCCATGGAGAGTGCCCTAGGCCTATCCCCTGAAACCATTGTGCCTTCATAAGCCTCAGGGCCTGTGATGAGAGCAGCAGCCTTGAAGATCTCTAAAATGCCTTTAGGTTCAATTTTACCATGTGTGAAATTGCACCTGCTTCTTTTCTATCCACACCACACCCTTGGTTTCCTCTCCTAAAGACATTTTGTTTTACCCTTTACGTGGCTAGGTTGAAACTTTTTCGAATCTCTCCACTCTGCTTCCCTTTTTATTTATAAATTGTTCTAAGTTATTCTTTTGCTCCTGAATCTCAGTATAAGCAGCCAGAAGTAACTCTGTATCTCCTATAATTTTCTTAGAAATTTCTTCTGCCAGACATCCTAGTTTTTCACTCTCATATTTGGCCTTCCACAAAGCCCTTGAGCATCCACAATTCAGGCAACATATTTGCCAATTTATAACAAGCGCAGCATTTACTCCAGTTTCCAATACGATGTTCCTCAGTTCCATCTGAAGCCTCATCAGAATGAAATGGACTCATTGCCTGGGGTGACACCCAAAGTTCATAGTCTCATGGCTGAAGAATTCAAGGAGGCAGACACACCAGGGGTGATATCAGAGCAGAAGCAGAAGTTTAACAGGTGAAAGAAAGAGGACAGCTCTCTGCAGCAGGGAGGAGTCCAGGAAAGGATTGCATTTTTCACAGTTGAATGCACAGGCTTTTATAAGAAATCAATGAGGGCTGGACATCTCATTTGCATAAGGCACAAATTTCTGGTAACTCCACCCTGTCCTCCTAATGTGCATGAGGGCCTGTAGCTTGAGTTATTCTATATTGCTTTGTTCCCCTTACTGTGCATGTGTCAGAGGAAGGAATTTGTTATTGTGGGCATGTCTGGGCAAGTCATCTGAGTTGCCTTTTTTATCTGTGTATCTGTGGGCACATCTTAGGCAAGCGTCCCTGTGTAAGTTTCCGTTTTGTGCCTGCAGGCTGTTCTTTTGTTTGAAAGAATTCAACAGAGGACCCACCCTAACTGCCTACCTGATCAAATTTTTTCCTTTCTCCTCTCTCATTTCCTGCCTCAGCAGTGGAGATCCTAATTGCTGTTAGAGGGAATGGTATTAAATTCTAGCTACTTCCTCTTGGAGAGGGATGTAGTGTAGGGGAAGAGCAGCTAGGGTTCCTCCTAGTGTTGATTTAAGTGTCCTCGGAAGGAAGGCACACCCATGTATGGTTACATTTGCATCACCATTTAGACCTTGATAGCCTTTAGTCAAGGAAAAGCAATTTAGGTTATTAAAGGAAATGTATTAAAATGAAACCAGGGGGAGGTAAGGACAGCCTGAAAATCCCAAGGCTGTCGACATGCCCAGATAACGGGTGACTATAGTTATTCCTGTTAAGATTTGGGTGCATGGGGCTTGGCTTTGGTTAACTTTTTTGGTTTTATTTCCCAAACAAATAAATCTCTGAGTTATGGGCACCATATATACTCTCATCACATCAAAGGATTTGCAAGATAATTGCCCATAAGTAGAATAATGGTAGAGGTTTTTACATTACCCATCCCTTTTTGTTTCTTCTGAACTACAACTGGAGATTGCTGGTGGGTTTACAGAAATAAGCAGAGTTAGTCTAAGAGGTGGGCAAGAACTTAAAAAACAACCAATGAGATTTAAATTTAATGACAAGCATAAAATAAATTTTGAAACATATTTTTTTTTTCTTTTCAGTCCTCGTTTTTGTTGAATACAAACCATGATAGGACTGAGTTGTTTGCAAAATAAAATTTAGTCGTATACTTGACCTGATTATTTGCATAAAGTACAGCAAGAATAATTATTTTTACATAGTTTTTTTCAAATTAGCTTTGATGGAACTCTGTACCACAAGGAATCTCAGATAAGACTTTTCAAAGCCAAGCCCAGACATGGGTTTGTACTGTCAAATACCTATGAGTTGGGAGAATGCCTTTTTTTTTTTTTTTTGAGGTTCCAAGAACATGGGGTTCCTGGCTCTGTTAAAAAGTGACATTCTTTACTCAGCACAGGTTAGGAACCCTGTACAGAGGCTGTGTAGACATGGTATGAAGCCAGTTCTCTCAATGGGCTTTTATTGGCTTTGCAAGTCAAGCTTGATTTCCATAAAGGGAAGCACATCCGTCCAGCCACAGCCTTGGTCAAACAATCAGTTTCTCCAATTGTGTCCTGTTGCAAAATAAAATGGATTCTCATTGCACTCATGAAAATAACAACATTGCCATAAGTTAAGAATCAAAACTGTAGAGGAACCAGGCAGAGAGAAACAAATATACTCCAAATTTTGTTTACAGGAGTATACTCAATTGTTAAAAGTAGATAAGTTAAAAGTTTCCTTGACTCTGAAGAACAAAACAAGGATTAGCAACGTTTCAAGCCGACTGAAGAAAGATTACTTTAGATTTCTATTAGTTTAGTTCTTGCAGTTAACTCTTATTTGACATTCAGGAATATTTCAGCTCTTCATGATTCCCGTACATTTTCCTTTACTCCCATGTCACAATTTCCAAAGTTATCAGAAACCTACATATTAAAGCACCTGTCAAAGTCCTATAGCTGATTATAAACCATATTTTGTAGGGGACTAAAACAAGACAATAATCATGTTTGAATGATGAAATATCCAGGGTAGTTACACTTAAAAATGTGATGGACAAATCTGTCTATTTTTATGTTTTACAATAGTTTAACACAATAATTTTAATTATGATTGATGGCATATACTCAGACATTAGGATTTTAGACATCCCATATGATTTTGAAACATATGTTAATATTATTCACTGAAATATAACCTAAAGAAGATTAAACATAATTTTGGCAATCCTACATACCTTAACATGTTAAATAATCCTGTTTACCTCTCTTCTGGATGCTTCAGGGGCACTCTGTAGACAATTTTGAAACTGAAGTTTGATTTTGAGAAGCCTGTTAAATGTTAGAGGTTTAAAGCACTTGATATTATTAAATGCAAATCCAGATTATCATTATTTATTTTGCCAAAATAATGACTTAAAAATTTTAAAAGAAAGCAAAAACCTTTACTCATTAAGAGGGAAGACAGCTTTCCAAACAGTTTGTCTTCTGTCTTCTCTTTCCTCCCTTTGGCAGTCTATCTGCAAAGCAAATGAAAAATCTTTCATTATCCTTCACTATTTCATGAAAATATTGTGCAAGGGAGAGAAGGCTGAATTTCACCCTTATATTGGTTTCAAAATAATCCTTTATTCCTAGGCAAGATTTACATTACCATGCCTTTTTATCATCTTTTACCACAAACACATTTTACTGTTTTTACACACCTTGCATGTAAATCTATTTTCAGTAGTCTCATCTGAGTGTTTTAATGGTAACTTTTAGCAATTTTTAACTTTAATGTAAAATCTGGTAAGTTGTTTTAATTATGTGCTAGGCTCAAATAAAGTCTGATTTTTTTCCAGCATAGATAGTGGTGTGGTTAATTTTGTATGTCCCCAGGCATTACCAAGTTGTTAAGCAGGCAATTTCCAACCTTAAAACATTTAGCAAACCTAGTATCTGACTTACATGATTTAGACAACCTATTTATATTTTGACAACATTTGCATTTTTACCAATTATCTTTATAACTATTTTTAATGCTTAAAGATTGAAGTCACATGAATTAAAAGGCATTACAGCTTTTATCTTTCCATTAAAAATATTTGAATTAAGCACTTATTTTTCTTTAGGCCAATCAGTTAGAGCTCTTTTTATAGACATCACACAAAACACACATATAACAATGTAGAAAAACAGAAGAGGATCCAGTCATTACAAGATTTTTTGTTTGCCAATTTCCTAATTGGATTATTGTCCTCTGGGTGTGGCTCTTTAAAAGTAGGGCTAGGAAAGAATGCAGTTTCTGGGGAAGACAAAAACAGATTTTGAGAGGATCTATTTGCCTCTAATACCTGGAGTTCCATGAAGTAAACAGAGGTTTCTCTCAAAATGGAATTTGGGGCACCCAAAGAATCCCACACCATTGGAAGTTATTTTGGGGCCTCTTATGCATGCTATAAGAGTGGCAAGACAAAACAGAGAAAAAGAATTCAGTTGACTGAGGAAAAAAACTTTTGTATAAAAACAAGCTCCAAGAAGAGAAAAATGTAAAGGCCTTTTAAATATACCTATAACTTGGATATTCAGTTTTAATTAAGCTGAGTGATCTTTAAGAAAATCCTTTTAAATCTCTAGTTACCTGACTTTTAGCCATGCCAACCAGTTAAGATTTCTGGCTTTTGAACTTTATCAAATGTAATCTGACAGGTGAAACCAACAAGCCTCAATTAAGGTTATGATTTAACTTCGATTGTACGAGTTATTTTCAAAGAAGTGGTAAGCCGATTTTGAAATCACCATTGCAAAATTGTAACTAAAACTGTTAAAGATATCTGACCCAACCAACTCCATTCTACTTCTAGCCTGCAAGCTGTCCCTGTTCATTCCTTGGTGAAGGCTGACCAACACTGGGAGAAACTTAGTTCATAGTTTATAGTCCAAAACAAAGATGATAAGAGCCCTGTCCAAGAACAAATCTCCTTTTTGCCTGGGGACCAGACTGCCTTTGTAGGACCAAGAAACCAAGCACAAGATTATAAACTATGGTTTAAGATTCACATAGCTGGAGGCCACAAGATTTTGACCCTCCCTAAACTGCTCCCAAGATCAACACTTGAGATATTCTGCAGACCCTGAAATTGATGGACCAGCTGGCACCACCCAGACCAATAGACTGGCTCATCTGATTTTGTGGCTCCAACCCAGGAACTGACTCAGCAAAGGAAGACAGCCTCAATTCGTTACAATTTTATCTCTGACCTGGCCAATCAGCACTCCTGGCTCACTGGCCTCCCCTCACCCACAAAGCCATCCTCAAAAACTCTGCTCTCCAAATGCTCAGGGAGACTGACCCGAAGTAATAACAAAACTTCAGTCTCTCACACAGCCAGCCCACGTGAATCACCCTTTCTTCATTGCAGCTGCCCTGTTTTCATAAATAGGTTCTGTCCAGGAAGTAGACAAGATGAGCCCATTGAGCAGTTACACTTTTACAAAATCTAGAAACTTTAAAGGCAACTCAGAGAAAGAAAGGATTAGGAAAGGAAGTCAGAAGTTGTTCATGGAGGAGAAGAGAATCAGCAAATGGCAGAAGTCACAGATATTAATCCAAAAGTACTCATTTCCCAAGCAAGGATTGAACTTGGGCTGCCATTGCAAAATGGCAGAGGCTAAAACAAAGTTCTGCTATGTGGTTATAGGTTATGCCCAAGAATGTAAAACAAAATGGAGGCCTGTAACAAAGTTTGTTACTGACCAGTTTACCGGGCTGGCTTGAACAGCAGGCTTATGGAGTTCTAGACTCACATTCTATCCTAAGGTAACCCTCTTTCTGACAGAACCATACAGAAGGACACACAAAGCACACCAGATTGACTGCAGCTTAAAACTAACGTCACAAATCCTTTTTCATTAATCACAACTCTACAGAGAATATAAACAGTGATCCTTATTATTCCTTTTACCAGTTTGCAAAGGGAGAGAGAAGCCAAAAGCCCAACTGGCAACAAAATTTTTACCTTTTTGCCAGCATGTCAAGCTTGGGTTCCCTTCCCTCAAGCTCAACTCTTAGCCAAGCATTTTAAGGTTTGAGAAATTAACTTTCCCCAGTTTGGAGGGACATTATAAAAGAAGAGATAGGAGCTATTTACAACTGGGAAAGAAGGAAGAAAAAAAAAACATAGAAAAATCTGGGGTTTTGGGTGGTAGAACTGGAGAAGTTGTTGATGTGAATAGGGGTGCAGGAAGTGCCAGGGCATCTGGAAGTTGCATTTGAGGGTTCCCTGGGAGTTTGGTTCTTTGACTTTGAGGAATTATCTCCTGTAGGCTTGCCTATATGATCGTTAAGAGAACAGTGTCCATTTTACAATGATGACAAGGTCTGGGTTGTCTCACAAGGCAAAGAATGCTTACACATAGGGAACCTCAGACCATTTGCCCTTCCACCTGCAGAAAAGATCTAGTTGTCCAATATTATTGATATTAGCATTTTCCTGAAGAGACCAGCTCCTCACCCCCATTCTGCTGTTGGTGAGATAGCCATGCCTGAGTGCAAATGAATATGAGGCAATTTTTGTTTACAGTTAATGGTCAAAGGAGTCCCAGTGATCCCATCTGCACTCAAGGGGAGTGCAGGTTGAAGATGGTTTATTACCCATCTACAAAGAAAAAGGACAAAGGTGTTCCTCAGTCTTCATTCTTCCTTTGGAGTGACCTAGGGTAGAGAGCAAAACATTGGGGATGTCCCCCCTTCTATTTTCCCTCCTCGGTTCTCTGGGGGCCTGGCATCTATTAAAGGTGCCAACCATCGATGAAGGCATGACCCTCACACATGGATCTGGAGGAGCTAAGCAGCAGTAATAGTCATGTTCACCTGCAAGACCCCATTTCTCTGCTGATGATTTTCCTTTGATTTCCTACACTTGTGGGATCTGCCTGGCTCCCTGATAGGTGGATCTCTTGAGAGACTATGTAACAGTTACATTTGGGCCAGGCCTCTTAATGGAGGAAATATTCTGGGTTGAGCCCTATATTCTGCTATTATGGCCCATGCTAAAGTATTTATTCTTAAGCAGTGGTTCCAGTTGACTTCCAGACCTAAAAGCCCCTTTCTACTTAAATACCATTCTAATTGATGGCAGAATAGGTGTCTCAAAAGAATGTAGGAATCACATGAGGCCGAAATTTGGTTTCAGAAGACATTTACCTCCTCACTATCAAAGAGAGAGTTTTGCCACTCACAGAGGGAGAATAAAACCTTGTCACTAGTAGAAGGGCACAAAAGAGTGAAGAATTGGAAAACTAGAAGTTTTGGCAAAGAGCCATCAAGGTTCCCCGTAGAGAGGATTCCCATTCCACTAGGTGGCGCTACAAACCTTGAAATATAAGACAGTAGCTTTGCTTCCATATGCTCTTTAGACAAAGAGGTAAAGAGAGAGATCTAAGGTGTGTTAGGCCCCCACAACATGCCTCCCAGTTAAGAGAAAGTTAGTCTCATAGGGAGTCTATCCATTTCAACTGGGCAGTTATGGCCCCTCCCATGGAAAAAGAAACAGCCTGGGTTGGGCACAGTGGCATACACCTATAATCCCAGCACTTTGGGAGGATGAGGCGGGCGGATCAGTTGAGGTCAGCAGTTTGAGATCAGCCTGGCCAACATGGTGAAACCTCGTTTCTACTAAAAATACAAAAATTAGCTGGGAGTGTGGCACACGCCTGTGATTCCAGCTATTCAGGAGGCTGAGTCAGGAGAATCACTTGTACCTGGGAGGAGGAGGTTGCAGTGAGCCGAGATCATGCCATTGCACTTTAGCCTAGGTGACAAGAGCGAGACTCCATCTCAAAACAAAACAAAACAAAACAAAACAAAACAGTGTAAATGGAGAGAGGAACATTAATTGGGGGGAAATAACCCCCCATCCAAGTCCAACCCCAGGAAGTGCCATCATTGAGAGTTAGATAATCTCTTAAACCTGGATCATGAAATTCCCCTGTTTCTAGAAAAATCACAAAAAACAGCAATCCCTTGAGCTACATTCCCAGTTACTACAGCACCCACTAATCCTGCCTAACAAGACTATCTCCCTGGGCTGTAAAAAGTCCTGCTACGCTGCATACAGAGAGGGGATAGCAGCTGCAGAAAGGAAAGAAGGTAACTGCAATAGGAAAAGTTTGCAAATCCTGTGCATGATATCCAATGGGCTGGAGTTAGCCCAAGGGCCTTCAGGTAGCACCGACAGGTAGCCTCGGCCAGAAATTCTCAGAAGGACCTCCTTCCACCTCCAAATGACGGTAGGCTTTCCATGAAAGGAAGCTATGTACAAACACATACACATACATGAAAGCATGAAATTTGAATAAGTTCTATAGATTTATGTTAATACCAATTTTCTGAGTTTGATATTATAGTTATGTAAAATAATACCCTTAGGAAAAAATAAAAATGTTTTTAAATTACATATAATTTTATACCAAAAATAATAAATTTTACTGTTTAAGTTTTTAAAAATCAACCAGGAAAGGAGAGCATATTAGTCTTCTCAAGCTGACCCAAAATACCAAAAACCAGGAGGCTAAAACAACAATTTAGTTTTCGAAAGTTCCAAAAACTAGAATTCCAAGATCAATTGCCAGCAGGGTTGGTTTCTTCTAAGACTGCTCTTCCTGGCTTGCAGATGGCCGCCTTCATGCTGGGTCTTTACACAACCTTTTTCACTGTGCTACCACATTCCTGAAGGACACCAGTCATATTGATTAGAGTCCCACCCTTATGATTACATTTAACCTTAATTATCTCTTTGAAGTATTTTCAAATACAGTCATATTGGAATTAGGGCTTAAACATATAAATTTTAGAGGATCACAAAGAGGGAAACTGAAAGTAGAATAAAGTCAGTAACAGATAAACCTAAGTATATTACAAATTAATAATTACACCTAAGAGAGTAAGGATGAAAATAAACAAACCTCTGTAACTATTTGGAAAATGGTGTTTCAGGGGTGGTATAAGAGCAAAGTAAAAATAAAAAAAATTAACTGTATGCAAATACTGTGTTCCATTAATAATATTTAGTAATTGTTTTCCTCACAGGTGTATGGCTTACAATTATAAAACTATGTTATGCGTATATTAGCATTTAATCAATCAATCAATCAATAATAAGTATTACAACTTAGTTTCTTATTGAAGAAATAAGTTCTCTGGTGTTGAATGTAAAAACTCCTTAAAATATATATTATACACCAGTTAGTATACATTATTCTACTTCCTAGCTCTGTCTATTGAGAGGCCCTAGAAATAATGTACTCTTTGTATTAAGCTGTTCTTGCACTGCTATAAATAAATAACTGAGACATGGTAATTTATAAGAAGAAGGTTTAATTGGCTCAACGTTCTGCAGACTGTACAGGAAGGATAGCTACATTCACTTCTGTTGAGGTCTCAGGAAGCTTGTAAATGGCCGAAGGCAAAGTGGGAGCAGGCCCATCACATGATGATAATGGGAGCAAGTGAGCTAGGGGGTGTGGTATCTTCTGCGGAGGAGGAGAGGGGGTGGGGGGAGAGAGAGAGAGAATATGCCAGGGGCTATGCCACGCAGTTTTAAACAACCAAATGCTGCTAGAACTCACACACTTTCATGAAGATAGCACCAAGCCATGAGGGATCCACCCCCATGACCCAAACACCTCTCACCAGGCCCTGTCTTCAGCATTAGAGACTACAATCCAACATAAGATTTGAGTGGAACAAATATCCAAACTATGTCATATTTGTAGCAATGAACACAATTAATGCACTTATTTTGGTCTCTAAATACAATTTTCTAAGAAAAGAAACAAGAGCTTCTTGGAGAAATGATTGATTCCAGACTTGTAGCAGGGAAAATCAAGTTATGCCTGGAGAATCATAGGGTGCAAGAGAGTAGAGAAATGCTGAGATAGATAGATAGATAGATAGATAGATAGATAGATAGATAGATAAAAATAGATAGACAGGCAGACATGGACATAGGCATAGATACATGCATCTTGAAAGGGCATATAAGACATTGCAAAATAGCTCCAAATAGCCAAACCTGAAACAAACTTAGCAACAACATTGATAATCAAATAGTATATTATTATAACCCATAGGATAAAATCCATACCCATGAGTTCATATTTTCATAAATAAATACACAAATTGAATAAAAAGATTATTGGGAGATATGGCACAGTTCCTCCTTACAGGAAAATTTCAATGAGTAATACAGAATGAATGAGGAAAGTAGAATATCACCATTAGAACACTACAGTAATAATGAAAGAAGGCAAGATCCATAATGAATAATAAAATTGGTGATCAAAAGCTAGAAGGAAAACAAATGAAAAGAAGGCAAGATCCGTATTGTATAACAAAATGGGTGATCAAAAGCTTGAAGAAAAACAAATATTTGCATAGTCTCAAAGGATTTCTCTCAGGATATTTATTAATTATAAAAGAAAAAATAATAACTAGAGGAAAGAAAGTCAGAAACATCACTTTAGTCAAGTGATCAAAGTTAGCATCTCCAACAATCAGATATGTTACCATTATCTTGTCATGTTTCGCTGAGAAGGGCAAATGCTACATATTATTGTTGTCAAAAAAAATGTATGTCAAATCTAATCATGAAAAGACATTAGTTAAACCCAAATTGAGGCGCATTCTAGACAATATCTTACCAACATTCTTCAAAAATATCAAGGTCATTGAAAACAAAAAGGTCTGAATAACTGTTCCAGATTGGAGGATGCCTAACATCCAAATGCACTTTTGAATCCTGGATTGAACTCTGGAACAGAAAAATAATGTTAGTGGAAAAACTTGTAAAATCTAAATAAAACCTTTTAGCTTAGTTATTAGCATAGTATTAGTATTAATATCTTAATTTTGTGATTAAGCAAAGTGTTATTATTAGGGGATACTGGGTAAAGGTTGCACAGAAAATATCTGTACTACTTTTCAACTTTTTTATATGTATTAAATTGTTTCAAAATTTAAAAGACAAGAGAATCATAAATTTAAATCTAATTTTCAGCTTTGTAGTTTACAGACAATTTTAATGTCATTTATATTGTAATGTTTCCTTGCTGTTAATGTCACTATAAAAAATATCTGGATTTGAAATAACAAAAATTGCTAATGTATAATTTTTATTTACATATTTTGTATATTTTAGATATGGACTTTGATTTGCTTCTGCAGTTCTCAAAATTCTAGGATACATTTTGTTCAAAACTAAAATGAAGCTTACAAAAATATCTTCAGAAAAGAAATATAAGACCTGAGAAGATATAATACTACTGAATAGGGAAGATTGGAGTATTGTGTTGGATGGCTTGTTCCATTTCTTTTCAAACAAGAGAAAGAAAGGGATGGTCGCACTTTGGTGTCTGGTGTTATGACTCGTGGACCTTGTTAGCAATGCACGCTGCAGGAGCTGTAATAGAAGTGACTGTCTAATTGTCATTGTTTCCCGAGAAGTCATTATGTACCCAGATAGCATGTGTCTTTTCAACATGACAATAATTAAATCACCTCAACCACTGCACAGAAGTGTGAGCTAGTTTAACGCATTGATGAGTACCTAAGTTTTACAATTCTAGGGAATGTTACCTGAGGTGTGCTTTCAATGGGTGATTTTCATACACATTAGTTTGATATATTTCACACTTCTCCCTAGCTCATAAATTTTTTTAAAAGGCTCTATGGCTGTTTCATTTTGATTAAAAAGTTAATAAATCTTGCTCGTTCTAAATTAAACACTGTCTTCTGTACCAAACAAAACATGAGACTTTTCTTATCATTACTCTGATGGTAGTGGTGGTAGTGATTCTAAAAAATTGAAAAAAAATAGTATTTAAACAGCAGTAACACATCCCAGTCCAATTTATAAAGTGGTGCAGTTTAGAAACACCTTTGTGGGCTGAGCGCTTTGGCTCACGCCTGTAATTCCAGCACTTTGGGAGGCTGAGGCGGGCGGATCACAAGGTCAGGAGATCGAGACCATCCTGGCTAACACGGTGAAACCCCGTCTCTACTAAAAATACAAAAAATTAGCCGAGCGTTGTGGCGGGCCCCTGTAGTCCCAGTTACTTGGGAGGCTGAGGGAGGACAATGGCGCGAACCCGGGAGGCAGAGCTTGCAGTGAGCCGAGATTGCACCACTGCACTCCAGTCTGGGTGACAGAGCGAGACTCCATGTCAGAAAAAAAAAAAAAAAAAGAAAGAAAGAGAAAAAAAGAAACACTTTTAGGGAATTATAATGGAATCCTCTTCTAACTCAGGATGTCAATATTCAAAATCAAAATAGCTTTAATAACTGTTTCACTTCATGTTTGATATACTTACAGGATCACTTTAAAAAGTTACTTGTATTAATCAGATTGAAGATAACTGGGAAGGAAATGACTACATAGATGTATGGCTTTGATTAATAAAATGTAATTAAGTGATGGCAAATGAGATTCTTCAACTGAATATAAGTAACAGAAGCAAAGTAAATTTAAAGAAGCAGATTAATGTTATTAGTATCTCCTCAACATACAGTGAAAAGAACACAATTTGCAAAATTAGAGGCATAAGATATATATTGATTGTATTCCTTTTTAAATTACTTCTTGGTTAATCAAATCAAACTACAGCAGAATTAATCAATCTGTAGATTACCAACAACCTATATGATTTGGTTTTTGAGATTTTTAGATGAATGGTGTTTGTAATGTATTATTATCAAAGGAAATAACTGGACCCTAATTTTTTTCTTGATTCAAATAAAATAATACGTTAAAACAGACAGACAAACTTTCTGGAAATGTTAATAAAGTCATTTAAAATTTCTAGGTACTCAAATGAATTATACTACTGATATCCTAAATCTTCAAAAATACTATAGAAAAATAAAATCTTCTAAATAATTAGAACACTATATACAGAACCATTTATCCAAAGAACAATATATCATGCTATATCAATAAGTATTTCTAAAGATCTATAGTCAATGTAATAAAATTTAAGCTTATGTCCAACAAATTTTTAAGCTTTAATAACATTAATAACACTATAAAGAATTAACAATTATAGAAAAAAGTCACAAATTTCATATAGCTCTGCTTTCTTTTATCAAATACATAATGCATTAGATTATCACATAATATTTGAGTAATATTGTATTGATAAAAGTTCTTTTACACCGTGCTTCTCAAGGTGACGTCCAAGGACCTACAGCTACCACATCACGTGGGAACCTGTTAGAGATACAAAATCTTGGACTATGTCTTGAGCTCTTGGATTGGAAATTGCATTTTAAGTTTGACAAATGACTAATCTAAAAAACTGATTTCTAATCCTTGGCCTTGTATTGAAAACCCTGATAAAAACAAACACATAAATAACTTGGACATAGATTTTTAAACCCTCCAGGTGATTTTAAAAAGGAGGCAAAGTTGGGAACCACTTTGCTGTAAGATACATAATGATTCAAAAGTAGGTAAATTTTTATCAATGGTGACCCACATAAAGTTAATTATATTGATAGTTATCTTTATTTCTGTTAAAGAGGAAATGACTCAGTTCAGGCATTCCTTTTAAACAATATGTTCTTAAAAAGTTGTAAATAATCCAAAGAATTATAAATCAAATAATAGATTAACTTCATAAAAGGTTCTCTTTATAGTGGGGAATACATTTGTAATTCAGAATTTCATTTTAATTACCACATTATTAACATCCTCTGTGCCTGCAATTTTTAAGGTTTTCTTAAATTAATTGTGTGTTGAACATCTTTTGTGTTTAATCTGATTTACATATATAATTCAATTTTTGAAATAAAAAACAAAGCCTTTATTTATTTTTGATTATTCAAATATATTCTTATGCTGGAGTGGTTATTTCCAGAGTTAAAATGAAAAATTACTGAAAAAGTCACAGATTAGTCTTCATTTCTATAGAAACTGAGCTTAAGCTTTTTTGTCTCAATGAAAAGTGAATATTTTAATCTATACTACAAATCTTTTAATAGTTATATTTGGCTCAAATATTATGCCCTTAGAGCACAGGTACTAGATATCACTTCTGATCCTGTTTCTGCAACTTTGGATAGTGCTAGTTTATGAATAGCTATTTAATAAATTCCCTTGGCAATGATTAGTCTTCAGTGCTATTCCTGGAGCAATACAAGCAAGCATCATGTGCAATAATACAGTTTTCATTTCAGTGACCTATCTGAAGTCAATAAACCCAAATGATAATTTAAAATTCACCCTGATGATGGTTCCAATAAATATATCAATAGTGTAGCTCTAGTTCGGTTTCATAAGAATTGTGCAGCAATAATTCTTTCTGTAATTATTTTCAGTACCACTTAACTTACACTTGTCCTTGTGTGAAATATGCATTTTCTTGAATTGTATTCATGAGAAGGTAAATAAGAGAGATGAATATATTAAATGTAGAAAAGTTGAGAATATATTCAATTGCCTATAAACTGCTAATTAACATCTTAAATGTTTAAATGACCTAATTTTAACTAGTTAAGTAATACACTGTGTCAAGTAACAGTGCCAAGTGAATATAAATTATCACCTTTAAGCTAATTAAAATCATTCATTTTATTATCCATACATGTTCTAATTGTCACATAATCATCAATATAGTTTTAAACATTTTTAAGGTGTTTATGCAAAAAACTCTACAAAGAGAATTAAATAGCTTTAAGTCTTCATTGTTTTAACAGAGCAAAAGTCATAATCTCCACTATCCAATCCACTCCATTAACTTTAAAAAGCATCTGACACCTAGATTAATGTCCAAGCACTTTTTGCTGATTGTTTGATTAGTACACATAGTTGTGGTGAGAGTGTTAGATTTATTTAATGCTTATAAATTTGATCAGACTATGAATAGAATTATAAAAATTATATTATTCTATTCTATTATAAAAATTTTAAACTCAAAAGCTATTTTGGAAGTTATATATCAATATTTTAAATATGTAGACTTATGCTGCTGTCCCAGTTTTATAAAATTAAAGTTAAAATAATTTATTTAAAGCTATGTTCCTGTAGAGAACCATTTTTTTTTGTAAAAGAAAAAAACAATAGACAAAACTAATACTCATCCCCTAAAAGACTATTCAAAAAGCACTGAATGAAGGAGAATTGTCTCATGTCAGAAACATGTAAAAGCATGGTGATCAAATAACATCATAAGATTTAGGTAAAAGCTGAATTTCAAACGGAGTAGAGAGTATGATTATAAGCACTTATTAGAGAATTTGTGTTTATGCTATATGTAAAATACCAACAGCATTAGTTGTAGAGATAATTATTGCAAGTTTGGTTTTTGCTTCTTGAAATATGGTATAACCACTCTCATCCATTTCTTAAGACTGTTATGAACTAATTAAAGACTGTAAAACATCTTGCAATAAAATGCTACATACATGCCTAATAAGGCTAATAACATTTATAATGATACCAGCTGTTGAAATCCAACAGATATACATAATTAATGGCAGTTGAAGTTTACCTACAGCTTTTCCATCTGCTTCATTAGAATACAATTTCCAAAATTAAAAGTGTTACCTTTGTTTAGAAGTTAAGCTTTCTCTCTACCCATTGTAACATATATGTACATTTTATATGTAACCTAAAAATATACTTAATTTCTCATTTCAAGAAAATACCCAAAGATAGTTTTTATGATAAATACATTAAAAAATACCATCTCTCTCACCTCATCATATTTGCATATGCATCAAGTCTAAATATCTTAGTAAGAAATGCATATTAATAATGCTTTGTGTGTGAATATATAAAACAATAATCCTAACAATTGTCAATGACATCTCACTCCAGTTGCCCAGACTGGAGTGCATTGTCACAATATTCGCTCAACTGTAGCCTCGACATTCTGGGCTCAGGTGATCCTCTCACCTCAGCCTCCCAAGTAGCTGGGACTATAGGCACTTGCCACCATGCATGGCTAATTTCTGTATTTTTAGTAGAGACAGGGTTTCACCATATTTCTGAGGCTGGTCTCGAACTCCTGAGATCAAGTGATCTGCCCACTTCAGCCTCCCAAAGTGTTGGGATTTCAGGCATGAGCCACTGCATCTGGCTCCTTTTCTTAAGTAATATCCAAAACAAGACTATGAAATAAATATTGTTATAACCCCAATTTTATAGTTTAAGAAACTAAATGTATTAATACAGAGAAAACTTTCAAAAATCAGAGAAAACACCCTCATAATTTAACAAATAACAAAAAAATTAGAGAAAATAGTTTACCAGCAACAATAAAAAGAGAAAATGGGTTTGAACGTACTTTATGAAAGAGCCAACTGTGTGGTTTAATAATGAGTTGCATGAGTTTTTTTTTATAACACCCCAGTTTTCTGATGCAGAGAGGTTGAGTTGAAAGAGTATTTCGAATTTTCAATTATAGGTTTTCATTTGGAGA
The DNA here is from genome assembly GCF_000001405.40 of Homo sapiens. Taxonomy (NCBI): domain Eukaryota; kingdom Metazoa; phylum Chordata; class Mammalia; order Primates; family Hominidae; genus Homo; species Homo sapiens. The sequence goes on along the minus strand of NC_000003.12, from coordinate 83,919,462 downwards.
GAATAAAAAATAAATGCGTTAAGTAGATGTTGGTGGAACAATAAAGGTCTCAAACGTTTTCATGTCTTTGGCTATATGGAATGAATCCCAGTGGTCATTTATTAGGACCCAGGAGAATACAAAGCCCAGAAACCCGTGCCCAGAGAGAGGCTCAGTTCCGTTTCTTTCCAATCCCTCATGCTTTTGTGTTTCAGAAAAAAAAAAAAATGAATGTAAAGCAAGACTAAGTTTTCAAACTCTAGCTCAATGCTGAAAAGTAAACTGATCTTAATCAAGTGGGAAAGGTGTCAAGAAGAATTCAGCCACACTAAATCAGAGTAAAATGGGAAGTTCTGGACAAAGCTATCCACAAAACTTAACCATAAAGACGACACTAAGCATTATTAATAATTACAAATATGTTCTCCTAAAACAGTGAAAGAAAACAATGTGGCATGTAGGTAAAGAATTCAGTCTGTAAGAAAACATAACTCCAGGTAATTAACATATTACACTATAACAGATAATATAGATAACAGTATGCACAAAGTTATTAACGAATATAGACACTAGAACAAGAGCTTAAAATCTAGATAAAATAGGCAAACTACAAACAGAACGGATGAAAAGTGTGACTATATTGCTGAGGAAAGCAATTCAGTGGATGTTGGTGATTTGGTTGGTATTTGGCTTCTGTATTTTCACTTTTTGAATTACTTGTTCTGTTTTTTTAAGAGAATGAATCACTTCTACCATATTTTAAATTCATTGTTCCAAAAAAACTACATGTACAGTATAACCGAATACTGATCTCAAAACTGACATCATTTTATATATTTTTTTGTATTCTACTATATGCATTTTATTAATCTGAAAGCATTGTTCAATACATAATCTGTAATGGTCTGCTTTCTTCTATATATTAAAAATATGCTATGGATTGACTTTTGTATATTAAGTGTTATTCTAAGTTATGAAGTTATAGCAACGACTAAAGAAAATTTTATGCTTTCAAGAAGCTTACACATTGCAGTACTATTCACGAAAGTCAAAATGTATAAACATCCTAAATGAGACCTAAGAGAAATGAAATCCTAAGAGAAAACTGGCAAAAACCAGCAAAAATGGGTAAAATTCCTTACCAAATTCAGCTTCTCCCAGACTTCTACCTGTGGCTCCTGGTTGAGAGAGGATGGTTAACATTTTTGCTTGTCCCTTCCTTTCCAGGTTCAAACTGATATGGGAAAAACATTTATAAAAAAAATAGTTCTTTGGATTTGTGATTCTTGTGGATTTGTTGTTAGTGTCTGTTGGGTTATTGATCTCTAATTTTCCAAATATAGTCCTTGTTTTCATTTTCTCTGTCTCTTTGTGTGGTTTTTCATAAAGAGGAAAATCATAAGTTCGCTTTTCCTCCTGTTTTATTTCTTGAAAAGCTTGACTTTGTAAACGGTGAATTGATTCTCTGGTCTCTGCCACCCTGGAGAGCACAAATTGTAGAGCTTATGTCAGGCAACCAGGTGGGGAATGCACCTGCAGGTATGAAATGTCCATTTGTCCAAATATGTCAGTTCTCAGGAATTTGTCTTGCTTCAGCCTTCCTGCCTTGCTAATAATGAGGATCTTTACTTTATCTTCCATTTTTGGAAGAAACTTCAGATCTTGGGGATTACATTTTTGCACGCTCTTTGGAAATCTAATTCTTTCATTCGATTATAAGCCATAAAAAGGCTTACTGGTTTTGAATCACAATTAAAGTAGGTATGCTTTTGGAAATATGGACATTTATTTACTTATTTATGACAGAGTCTCGGCTCTGTCGCCAGGCTGGAGTGAAGTGGCGCGATCTTGGCTCACTGCAACCTCCGCCTCCCGGGTTCAAGCGATTCTTCTTCCTCAGCCTCCAAGGTAGCTGGGACTACAGGTGCGTGCCACCATGCCTGGCTAATTTTTGTATTTTTAGTGGAGAGGGAATTTCACCATACTGGCCAGCATGGTTTCTCCATGCTGGCCAAACTGGTCGCGAACTCTCGACCTCAGGTGATCCGCCCACCTTGGCCTCCCAAAGTGCTGGAATTACAGGCGTGAAACACCGCTCCCGGCAGGAAATACGGACTTTTCTATCTGAAAGTACGTAGAGGGTATTTTCAGTCCCTTGGAGATGTCAATCTTAACCATGACTTGAAATCTTAGCATCTCAGGACTTAGCTAAGCAGCCAGCTGAAGTCAGATTTGAAATAGAGTGAAATTTCTGAAAGGAAAAGCCAAAATCATGAATGTTTGCTATTTTTTCCAGCTAAAAAGAATTTTAGGAGCTCTATAGTCAAAACTTGACTTAATTGAAAGCTGACATTTAGGCTAAATATTGTGTGCGTGTGTGTTTCTGTGTGTGTGTGTATACACATATATATATACACAAATATGCACACATGTACATATATACACATATATACAGATACACATACATACACATATGTATAAACACACATATACACACAGACACATATTATACATATATACACATACATGTACACACATACCTATACACACACATACACACACATGTATACACACAGACACATATAAATAGCCTAAATGTCAACTTTCAATTATATGTGTATATATGCTTTATATATGTATATATGTGCACATACATAAACACACCCACATATGTGTGTATATATTTTAAAATATATAAATATATATTTAATTTGGGGAATATATAATTTAATTAGGAAAATTAAATTAAAATTATAAAAAATACAATTATAAAAATGTAAATTAAATATAAAATTTAATTATAACTATAAATATATATTACATAATATAATACAAAATTATATAAAAATGAACTAAATATAAAATTTAATTATAATTACAAATATAAATATAGAATATATATTATATAATAATATAATATATAATTATAGAATATATATTATGTAATAATATAATATATAATTATAGAATATATAAAATATAAAAATATAAATATATATAATATATATTTTTAAGGCCTCTGCTCTCTCTCCATAAAGACTTCTAAGTTGACTGAATTCCTGTCTTTTTAAAACTCCTCCAAATATCTGTTCCTCCTCTTGGTGAGGTGACTTTTGCCTCAAATACATGTTTTTTCATTTACTTCTGTCTCTCCTCTTGCCACCTGTGCTGCCATATGAGGGGACCTAAAGATTAACAGCCTTGGGGTGCCTTGAGAAAACAGAAGTGCCTCAGGTGCCTCTCCTTGGGAGGAATCTCAGGTGCCTCTCCTTGGGAGGAATCTCAGGTGCCTGTCCTTGGGAGGAATCCGAGGTGCCTCTCCTTGGGAGGAATCTCAGGTGCCTGTCCTTGGGAGGAATCTCAGGTGCCTCTCCTTGGGAGGAATCTCTGTTTTTCCTCATGGAGTCCCACGAGATGTGAGTGGACAGATTCCTCTCAAACCTAAACTCTACGCTCCTTTGCATCGAACTTTTTCATCTCTTTGGCTTTGGGATACATAAACAGGTACATATGTATGTTACATGCTGTCTCTACCTGTATGTATATGTCTATACGTATATTTTAATATTATCTATATGGTACCAAATTAACTGAAAGAAGTAGTCATAAATTAAATAAATGAGCTCAAATCTTTTACATGACGTAAATAAATTTTTCAATAAATATAATTTTTAATATTGTTGGTTTAATAAAAATAACTATGTCTTTTGAGCTATCAGAAAAGTTTATATGTAAATTTAAGGTTCTTGCTATTATGATACTTCCCTAACAGACATATAAATATGTAGAATAGAAAATTTAATTTGAGATTATGGCTAGATTTGTTTAGTGTCGTATAAAATTTTTCCAAACATAATTATTAAAATTAAATAAATAGCTGTAAATGAGATACAAGTTTATAGATAAACTTTTAATAATAATTAGGTTTTATAATGTATTTACTTAAAAAGGTTTCTCAAATGTTTTTGGTAACTACACCCTTCTAAATTTTGCTAAAATAAATTAAATAATGAATAGTTATTGAAAATCTAGATCCTTTCCAAGTAAGATATAATGCTATGATATTAGTTATTAAATATGAGTTTAAACTTGTATACTTTTGATTTATTATTTTAGAAAAACAAAACATATTTATTTCTATTAGTAAATATGTTCTGTTTCATGTTGAAAAATTGTTTCATTTGAAATCTTCTATTTTTTAAAGTCATAAAATGTGTATTCATAAATTGTTGGCATGTAACTGACAGATAAAAATTTCATACTTCTTAGATTTTTGCTATGAATTAAGGTTAATAATAGTAAAATTCTTACTAATATATAGTAACTAATTAGGGAGATTAAAAAAACGACTCAATTCTGTATACAGAGTATACATGGAAAGCAAGATTTTTTATTAATGAGATTATGAAGTATGAGAACATGCTTTTGTTTCAAAAACGATTTTGTCTAGTTGAAAAATTATTTCAAAGTTGTTTTCACAAAATATGAAACAAAAAAATGAGATAGGTAAACTAAATGGACATAGAAAGTTGGAGAAAGAAAGAAAATAAAATCTAAAAGATTATAGAAAGTTTATAGAAATATCATGTGGTCAAAGCTAATTGAGATTAGGTATATTAGTTTAGAAAGTTTTATGAAAATTAGGTTTAATATTAATACAACTAATACAAAGGTAGAATTTGCCTTTCTCTTTTGAATAAAATTTTTTGTATAATTTGTTATTTATTAAATTAATTTTGTTTAGTCATTTATTTACTAAACAAAAAGTTACAAAAATGTTTTGTAAAGTCATTTATTTATGTTTTGTAAAGTCATTTATTTATTAAACAAATATATATTGAACATCTACTATGTGCTAGGCACTGTGGTAGGAGCTACAGGTGAAACAGTGAACAGGATCTATGCCCCGTAGAAGGTAACAGTCCAGTGACAATAAGAGACAAGAAACAAGTGACACAGATAAACAAAAGCCAAACAAATATGTACTGTTGGCAAGGAAATTACCTATACGTCTCTCTAACACCACCTCCTTAATGTCAGAAACAGTGGCTTAAATGCATTCTGTACCCGATAAAGGTGGAATCATTTATTTTGATATGATTGTTGCCCTATAGCTTGGCTGAGAAGGTTAGGTTACACACATGGAGTAATATGAGAATTATTTAAGACAAAATAGGATTTTATAGTTCTCCTTCTACAGTAAGAGAAAGGAATATATTAAGGTTTGAAAACCTAACTCTCAAAGTCTGATGTATAAGACAGATAACAACTTAACACTACATCTTATCCACAAAGCTAACCATTGTTCAGATGGTGGCTCTTAACATTAGTGTTTCTTAAACTGTCATATGCAGAAAAAAAAAAAAAAAACCTAGAGATCTTCTTAAAATGCAGATTTGATCCCACAAGTCTGTAGGACCACAAAATCCTGCATTTCTTTTTTTTTATTATTATACTTTAAGTTCTAGAGTACATGTGCACAACATGCAGATTCGTTACATATGTATACATGTGCCATGTTGGTGTGCTGCACCCATTAACTCCTCATTTACATTAGGTATATCTCCTAATGCTATCCCTCCCCCCTCCCCCCACCCCAAAGGTTTAAAATACTTGATGAAAATAGGATCACAGGTTCAGTCACAGAGGCAATTAAAAGATTTCAACAAGTAAAAACCTTTCTTCTTTGATGGGGAGACGTCTCAATTTTCCAAACAAAAGACCTAATAAAGACAGCATGAGGTAAGTCTTGGCCTCTCGTTTTTACAGTTCACTCAAATGGTGAATCAGTCTTTTAAAATCCTTTATTAATATTATATCGATATTATACAAATTGTATAATATTAACATTAATAATATGAATAAATTAATCAATTAATTCATTATAAAGTAATTACATTTAATTATAATTAATTATAATGAATTAATTACAATACAATATAATTAAAAATAATTAATTATAAATTAATTGATAAATATTAATATTATGCAAATTGTATAATATTAATAAAGGATTTAAAAAGACTGGTTCGCCATTTGAGTGAACTGCAAAAACGAGAGGGAAGACTTTACCTCATGCTATCTTTATTAGGTCTTTTGTTTGGAAAATTGAGACATCTCCCCATCAAAGAATAAAGGTTTTTACTTGTTGAAATCTTTTAATTGCCTTTTTGACTGAACCTGTGATCCTATTTTGATCAAGTATTTTAAACCTTTGACATATTTGACAGGCTTCCTAAAATCAAATTTCAAATTCTAAATTGTCTTTTTAACCTCAAACTAACTGTTAGATCTCCAAAAAAAAAAAAAAAAAAAGGACATCTAGAAGTCCAAGAGAGACAATATTAGGCTTATTTGATATGTTAAATTATGTGGGTAGGATTGTCAAATTGGAAATAATGTTCCTTCTTTGAGTTAAGTTTGTATAAATGTGTTGTTAATCTGTGTTCCAAATTGTATAAGATTTATAAAAAATATTATGTGTCTTGGTATATGTGATCAGTCATAATTCTGAGTATTATGTTAAATTTTTGTATGCCACAGAAATAATTTTGTGAATTACATCTTTAACTATGGCTATTCCAAACCTTTAGTCGTCCACAAACAAGTATTATTTTACTTTTGTTGTCCAAGAAAGGATGGTTTGTAATTGGCTACAAGGAAATTCATAGAAAGGGACCATAACATGTACTCTTAAGTACAAGTTTCTAATAACTCTGGAGTTCACACCATAGAACTAGATAAAAGCTTCCAAACTTCTAATTAAAAAAAACTGATGGGTTTATAGAGATTGCTAACACAACATCAAGCAGATCAAGAATTAATTCCATGCAATGAAACTGATAGAGGACTAAAACAATTTTTAAAAATTTTTTCCATTTGCTTCAGTCATTGTTGATTCTATTATTTTCTAGAGTCACAAGATTTTTTTTCTTTTTATATGCTATTTATAGCTTAGAAAAATTAGGTAAAGTATACTTTTCTAAACAAAATTGGAACATTTACTTTTCTATCTGATCGCTCCAAAATTAAGAAACTGTTTGTATGTATTCTTAAATTTTTGACAATACATTTATTTATATTAATTCAATGTGAATTTGCTTTTTTTTGTAGCAGGATAATTGGAAGCACAGGTTATATCACCAAGGCTTTGACTAGGATGGCATATTTTCAGATATGACCAGAATACTTTAAGAAATTAACATTAGCTTTAAGGAGTCATTTAATTCCTTGGAAGAACTAGCCTAGTACCTTATCTACGTATTTCCCTTACAAGGTTTCTAGCCTTATATTAAGAAAAGAATGTCACTTTATGACAGGCCCAAGAACCTCAAAATATTTAGGGAAGCTCCAAAAAAGAAGAATTCACTCAGATATTACAGGTAAAAGCTGATGGTGAGTTCACGGGTTGGTTTCACAGCCTGGAGAGGCTTTTAAAAGTATAATCTGAGATTTATTATGATAAATCTAGCAAAACAGAATAAAAACAAAAAGCTATATGACCAATAATTATTTTTGCTGTACTTTATGCAAAAAAATCAGGCCAAGTGTTAAGGCTAAATAAAATTTATTTTACAACTAAATTGGCTTCACATTAAATACATTTAGTAAAAATGGGGGTGATTGTAAGGAAAAAATTATGTTTCAGAAGAAAACTATAGTACACCTGTTTTTAGATTCTTGCCCTGTCCATTGTTTTTTTTTTTGTTTTTTTTTTTTTTGCTTATTTTAATTTTGGTATTATCTAAACTGAATACTGAATTTTTAGTTAACTTCAACATTTGGCTACAACTCACCAGATTAATTTCTCCAATTTTTCTCCCACCTCCTTTCCAACTTAAAATCACTGGAAATTTAAGCTGTGCTTTTCTTGAAGCCCTACAAGCTAAGGTTAGACAACTTGATATAAACTTTGGAGAAATAACACAACTTATTTATGGACAAAAAATTTAATGGGACATATGATGCAAACTACAATCCAGGAAAATCTGTCAGATTATCACTGTTCACTTTCACTCCAACTGTAGATACTTAAGAGCACAAATCTCAAAATCTTTTCAGCTGACTGACTTCCACAATCGGAGACTGTTTTGTGGACTGCTCCAGATGTTAACCTTTGTTTTTTCTTTTGCTTCCTTAGAAATACCTCTTACTAAATACCTGTTTATCTATACCACATAGAGAACTACTTTTAAAGAAAACCCACATACAACACCACTTCCTGGAATGAGATACAATTGTTCAGCAGAATTGACTATTTTCAAGACTAAAGTACTGTTTCAATAGGAGATATGGGACAATGTACTCAAATTTTTTGTTTCTTCTAGTTCCATGTTTTCTCCCACTTTGCCAATCTCTTATCTTAAACATCTCAAACCCAAATTTCTCTAAATCTACCAACATATTGAAAATCTAGATCCTTTCCAACTAAGATATGCTATGATATTAGTTATTAAATATGAGTTTAAACTTGTATACTTTTGATTTATTATTTTAGAAAAACAAAACATATTTATTTCTATTAGTAAATATGTTCTGTTCCACGGAAAAATTGTTTCATTTGAAATCTATTTTTTAAAGTCATAAAATGTGTATTCATAAACTGTTGGCATGTAACTGACAGATAAAAATTTCATACTTCTTAGATTTTTGCTATGAATTAAGGTTAATAATAGTAAAATTCTTACTAATATATAATAACTAATTAGGGAGATTAAAAAACGACTCAATTCTGTATACAGAGTATACATGGAAGGCAAGATTTTTTATTAATGAGATTATGAAGTATGAGAACATGCTTTTGTTTCAAAAATGATTTTGTCTCGTTGAAAAATTATTTCAAAGTTGTTTTCACAAAATATGAAACAAAAAAATGAGATAGGTAAACTAAATGGACATAGAAAGTTGGAGAAAGAAAGAAGATAAAATCTAAAAGATTATAGAAAGTTTATAGAAATATCATGTGGTCAAAGCTAATTGAGATTAGGTATATTAGTTTAGAAAGTTTTATGAAAATTAGGTTTAATATTAATACAACTAATACAAAGGTAGAATTTGCCTTTCTCTTTTGAATAAAATTTTTTGTATAATTTTTTTATTTATTAAATTAATTTTGTTTAGTCATTTATTTACTAAACAAAAAATTACAAAAATGTTTTGTAAAGTCATTTATTTGTGTTTTGTAAAGTCATTTATTTATTAAACAAATATATATTGAACATCTACTATGTGCTAGGCACTGTGGTAGGAGCTACAGGTGAAACAGTGAAACTTTAATATGTTAAACTTTTTGAAAGTAAAGTTTCAAAGAAGAGACTAAAGGAAACCAAAATATTTATCCCTAAATATTGAGTATTTTTAAGTTAAAACACTAAAACAGAGAAACACTCTGCCTCCGCCTCTATTTGCCTGGTAGCAGGAATCTATCCTTCCTTACTGGAAAGAGCACTTGCTTATTGGCCCAGAGAAGGCACCAGCAGGCACCAGAGGAACCTGGAAACAGATTTTACTATCTTACCACAATTTCACACCTTTTAAAATACTAGAACTGCTCTTTGCTTTGTCTTGCTACTATTTAGGGTTTATGGCTCCTTGTGAAAATACTATTTAAGCAAAGCCCCTAAGCCACTTTCTTTAGATAGAAATAATTTTGAACCAAGGTCTCTCCCATGTGATGAGTATAGCAGGCATTAATAAACTGCATATTTTTCTTTTGATAATTTGACATCTGAAAAGTGTCTCGACTAAGAACCTAAAATGAGAAATAAGAGAAATTATGTTTTCTCTCAGGTATCTTCCTGTTCTGTTCTCAAATGACTTCTCTACCTCCTCTGCCCAAATACTAATTTCTTAACAAATTGCATAATTAAATGAATAAAAAACTAATTAATGGTAATTAATTCCAAATTATTAGTCATTTAAATTGCTTAAAGTAGTTTTCTGGCCAAATATTCTGGGTATATTACATATTTTATATTCGAGTTTATTTATTCTTGTACTCCCACAAGCTAGTAATATACCTGAGACGTACTGTGCATTTAATAACTATTTCTTAAATGAAAATACTTCATACATATTTTCAATGTCTTCATACATTGACCCTTATATAGATAAGCTGGATTTTAAAATATCATTAAAATACAGAAAATATATGTTAGTTTATATTTACATTCAGATATCTTATAGTTATTACATATGTCTGTATTTAACTAAAATCATCTGTATTCCCAGTGCTTAGAACAATACTGGCACATTGAAAGCAGAGTAGACAATCAATAAATACTTTTGGAATTAAAAAGACAATAAATGAAATGAAACAGAAGATGGATATCTATCTTCTATCTGTCATTTATCTATCTGTCTATCTATCTATCTATCTATCTATCTATCTATCTATCTGTCATCTATCACCTGTCTATCATCTATCACTGTGTATGAATGTGTTGTTTGTTTGCTTGTCTATTTATAACATGGTTCAGGGTACTTCTTCCTAAGCCGCTTCTTGGTCTCGTTGTTCCACTTTCTCTTAATATATGGCCCTGGCACATTTTGGAAACATCAGAAGTTATAGTTATCACTACTAAAAGGGCACATTTGCATCATAGTGTCTTACTCCTATTATCTTGGGGCTTGGAAAGCGAGATTCTTCAAATCTTATACATCCATGAACATCTCCTACATTGTCTGAAGGAGAATACTTTAACGGGCATAACAAGGGTCACTCAGGTGGTGTTGTGGTCAGAATAAAAGCCAAAGTTCTAGACTGATAGTCCACCAAATGTTACATGATGTTCCTTCTCAAATGATGTTAAAAACCTCACATTTGCATTAATAATTTTGAACATAGTAACTTAAAAAAGAGCAGATTAGCATAGTTTAACATGTAGATTAACAGTGAATACTGAAGCCAGATGTTTATATTTAAATCTGTCTCTTCTACTTACCTTGGGCAGGTTACTAACCTCATGTCTTTGTTTCTTCATCTGTAAAATGATTATAGTAATGACCAAATAATAACTATCTCATAAGATTGTTCAGTGGAATTCAATTAAATGAAACATTATTTGTAAAAGTGGTTAGACTAGTGTCTGCCATATAATAAGTGGTATATAAGTGTTTGCTATATAACTATGTGTAAAGAATTATTTTTATTTTTTTATGCCTCTGAATCCAAGCATGATTAAAAAGTAGAGAATTAACAACTAGTCTTTAACATCTTTCCTACATTTAGGATCCCAAGGAGAGCAGAAAAAATAAATAAACGAAAGAAAAAAATGAACAAGCCAAATCTCATTTCTCACGTGCTAATCAGACCTCCTGATGCTATTTTTCTTTAATGACAAGATAGTAGAGTCCTTAGCTATGCTTTCAACAGGGTTTATGAAGTCTGCCTAAGTTGTTTATGAAAATAAACAGAATTTATAAATTTGGGGGCACATAACACACTGGAAAATGTCACTATTTACTATGTAATATTTGAAGTACAAAATGGAGCTCTTTCATGACTGAAAAACCCCTTTTGGGTAAGTGATGCCCCAAATGCTAGAGTACATCCAAATGTAACAAAAAGAGAAAGAGGGGAGCTGTTTTTGAGCTCTCAAGTGTCTCCATTACTTTCCAGGATCTCATGATTATGTCAATTATTTGAATTTTTAATTAAGTTATATACTGGAGAAGATCTCTGATTCTTCCAAGTTGAACTTCACAAGCTCTCCTTTTGTTAACACAGATTGGCACTATGTTCATGACTGTCTTTCAAGCCCACAGTTCATAAATGTCTGAGTCACCTTTAGCCAAGAACCAGGAAGAGACAGAAAACCATAGTGAGGATTTTATGTCATGTTGATGTCTTCTCATCCTTGATATGAGCTGTGGCAATCTTGAGATAGGTTACAAGAGCCTGGCCAGTGGACTTAGAGAAATTAGACTTGTAGGAGCCATCTAAATGAACAGACAAGGAATATGTCACTAGGCAGGAGGGAAATTAGCAAAAAAAAAAAAAAAAAAAAAAAATGTTTCTTTAACCGTTGATACCCCTGAGGGTAAAGACTAGATGTCTGGAAGATGCTTACTAAATAGGATGAAAAATATAAAATCAGAAATTCCTGTCACTGGAAAAGCCTTCTGCTGCTTCCATAGACAACTGAATAGCCAACTGGCACCTTAATCTCATATATTAATTCAATTAAGACCACTGATGAATCAAAAACATATACAAGAATAAAGATCATGGTTAAATGACCATGAAATTCCAAGATACTCTGTTAAAGAACTAGGGTTCTTTACAACAGAAGACTGATGAATTCTTACTGGCATAGATTCTTAAAATAAACCATAGCGAGATTTGAAGGGTCACTATTTCTGGAAAATCCTGATTGGAAGAGATTCTTTAAGTTGACAAATAATCCTCACATAAACCTGTATGAGCAGAAATTTTCAGATGATGACTCTAAACTTGCTACAGTTGGTGAATAGAAGCTTTTGGCAGATCTAAACTGAAAGGAGTAACTGCCCAGACTCCTTTTAAAACAGTAGAAATATTGTAAATGCAGGCAATTCTGAATTGGTTTTATGATTACAAGAGGGACACACTTAATTTAATGTCATTGATAGAGACCATTATGTAAACTAAAGTAACAACACAAGATTCCTCAATCTTCTAAACCTTATACAATCTTGTTTCTGGGGTCAAGCGAATATTTAGCAGGTAATAACTGACTTGTTATTTATGTGGGGAGTTTTATGATATGATAAAATAAATGCTAGCTTTGCAAGAGCCAACATAATGGGAAGAAATAGAAAAGATAGAGAAGAAAATGACAAGGGAAACTTAACAAAGCTAAATGGAGTCTTTTAGATGGCTTTCAAAGAATGGGATAAAAACAGAGAAACTTGATAGGATTCCCATTAAGGAATTTATAGCTCATTAGCAACGTAGGATGGGGTGTGGAAGTAAGAGATCTGCTTGACTTACCTCTCAAATTACCACATCAAATATTATTTCTTTATTTTGGCCTAAAGGAATTCAAATTAAATTGTGAGGATTACAATTTAGAATAAAATATATTAAATGGGCAGGGATTTGGAGAGGAGGATGTAAATTTATACTCTAAAGCAGGAAAAATCTAAAAAAATAAAAAAAAAAAAATCAGTGAAAGGCCTAAATTTGCTTGCCCAACCCTTGAGTAGGGCCTTTGTATACAAAAAAATTGAGTGACATGTTCAAGGGGTGATACGCAACAAACCTTAGGACTTCTAGATATGGGGGTTCCTTACTGTCTGCAGTAGTCCCTCTGATGGATACAGATAGCACTCTGATGGGCCTGAAGGCAAAGCTAGGAGCACATGGACATGTTTGGTAGAAAAAACTAAAGTGAAGTTTGAGTAACAATTTGGAAAATGGTACCAGACAGATTGTCTGAGTAAGTCCCTTGAGTAGTTATTGAGTGAAAATAGGGCATAATTTCCCTTACAGGTTCCACAGACTAAATGTGGTCTTCAACCAGTTAATTCACCAAGCTCAATATAAAATTTGTCCCATCACTGCTCTATATCAAAGTTTAAGCAAAAGTGTTCCAGGGAGGCATTGAGAGCTCACTGTTATGGTTGAGGGAACAATTAAAGGGGTATTTTTACGTCCCCCTAAAGCCCTTTTTGTCAGTCCTATATGGCCAGTATGCAAAACCGATGGCTCCTGGAGGTTAACAATAGACTAGCAGGATTAAACAAGATGGTTTCTTAGATTGATTCAGCTGGACTTAATATTGGGGAGGGTACATAGGAAGTGCAACTAGTCAAGTGGGACAGCAGGTCAAAAGGCCTTTGCTTTCTTTCCTATACAAATTATTAGAGTCCATCCAGGCACAAAAATAGGGTTGCTTGATTTAGCAAATGAAACACTGGCATTCACTCGAATTTAAATTTTAAGTAAAAATCAATACTTTTTAGTATAATTATGTTCAGACATTGCATGGAATCAATAATATATTTTACCTGTCAACACCACATGGCATTCTTGTAGATTGAAATTTAGTATACAATTACTGTTTTGCTATGGGAATATTTGAATTGCCATAATCTACTGAGTCAGGACTTTGTAACAATTTAAAGTATGTTAATGCACTACATTGATAATATCATGACTTTCTCTCCCTACAGAAGAGGCACAGGAAGAGTTAAGGACTGTGGTTATCCATACCACAAGTAGAGACTGACAGATAAGTCCAACTAAAATAAAAGTCTCAGTCTAGCCTGTGCAATTCATAGGAGTTTTACAATTAAAGACTGCCTGTGCAGTTGCTTTTCATAGCCCATTACATAGACAATCACTATCTTGGTATGGGATGTTCATATACATTGCTCCAACAGTTAAACTGGGGGCCAGGCATACTGATCATGTCTTGGGTGATGTAAGAGATATTCAAATAGAGAAGAAGCAGCCCAGCAAAGATGCCACATAAAATGGAAGTAGTACATTCCTGGGCATGCTAAGCATGTAAAGTTCAAAGCAATCCACCTTGTTCATGAATCCATTAATTCACTGCCTATAGGATTGACTGTCAAGCACTCCAAGGACTTTTCTACCCCATTACTGTATAAAGTGAATGACATACTTCTCTCCAACTGAAACAAAACAGCTTTTCTGTTTTTTCAATGGAAATTTTCATTGTTAGTTGAAAGTTAACTGCAACAAACCCTGCAGATGTTAAAATTTTAGAAGGAGAAGGTCAGAGCTAAGAGTAGTTTTTGCTTTTTAGTTTGTTTTCAAGTAGAAAAGAAGTTAGACTTGAATTCTTGAACAATGATTGAATATGTACAGATTATTCGGCATTAGCTCATGGCCATGCAATATAGAAAAATGAACCTTAAAAAACAGAAAATGAAACACCATCCTATGGGCCTTTTAATAAAAAAAAATTGTAGTGGAAATTTACAGGAAGAATTAAAGTGGTTCATGTAGACAAATGTGTATGTGCATGCACACACACACATACACACAGACCCCTACCCTCAATCACACACAACAAACTATAAAAAAAAAACAAAAATCAGTTGTCAACTCAAAAAGGAATTGGGATGTTCAGCCGATGGCTTTGTCAGAACTTGAAGGCTTCCTCCCTAGGTTATGCAACATGCGAAAATGCAAGTACTCACACTGTGCACTCAAGGACAGAGAGGGAACACATTCCACATATTCCCCCATCACCTAATGTATCTATTGTTAGGAAGAGAAACTGTACCCATTTTCAACAGGAGATCGCTCATTTGACAATGGCTTGGGATAAAATTCTCCACAGTCAGAAGCACCACCACATGTAGCAAGCAGATTATTTTGGATCTATACCAATAGCCCTAGGGTGCTACAACTTGTTGTTAATGGGATTTTAATTTATTCTACTTTATGCTTTGATTATCTTGTAACAGAAGCAGATTTGGACTATACAATTAAAAGATTGAGAGAGCAAATTATCTACCAATTCAAACTACCCGAGTTTATTTCTCTAATCATTTTTCACACATCACTGCTACTAATGTACCAAAACAGAAAAATCAAGGAAGCATAGTATAAGGAGATGCAACCTCCCTACCACACTCTCAGAACACTTTTCTCATTTAAAATTGAAATGGGTAATAGGAGCACCTGCTACTCAGAATATGTAATGAAAATGTTTAAAAGTATGGATTAATTTTTAAATGATTGTGTCCTCAAGTTGTACATGAAGGGCAGTAAGTCAGGGCCTTCACTGGAAAAGTTGCAAAGATCAGGTAATAAGACTGAAGAAGGGATACATGAAAGTACAGAACTTTCTTTCTAATATCACACAATTTTTGTTTGATTTTGACTGATCCTGTATTCCCACGTTCAGATGTGGACCTGTGTATATCCAAAGAAGTTGATGTAAATGCAGAAAACACACTACACCTCACAGCATGTATTCCTAAGTGTATTTTAGAGTGTATTATCACTTCATCCCATGTAGCCAAATCTGGATTAACTGCAACCACAATTCCATGGCCATCAATGGAGACAGCTCTGCATTTTTTTTTAACCAATCAAATCCTTTAACATCTGTCTCAAGTGCTTCTGATAAAAAAGTGTTAGCCAGTTTTCTGTATTGTCTGCCCTATGGATATGGAGTACAGCTGAGTCAGGAGGAGAAATTCTGAGCAAGAGGCAAAGGGTGTGGGTCAAAGAGATGATACAAAGAATCAGAGAAGAACGTGAAAATGAGAGAAATGCTCTTAAGTGGGTTAGAGTTCCAAGGATGAAGTCAATCGTCATTTTTCTTGAGAGTTTCTCAGATTCAGAGAAAAACCCTGTCCACTATTTCTTTCAGATCTGGTATATCCAATGGCTGACGCTGAGAGAAAGCCCCTGTGAGGAACTGAGATCTCCACAGAAAGGATATTGGATTTCTCCTGATTCATAGCCTGTATAAATACTCCACCAATATAATCTGGGTGGGGTTGGGGAATGACGTTGTATTGCCGGATGACTCAATTTTTTGGTAGCCAAAAACAATTAACTACCAAGTTGTGCTTTATAGACTATATTACCATTATGATTAGTTTTCAAATAAGCAGAGAGAAATAATATCAATAAATCATACAGGGTGGAGAATTCTGACCAGCAAAGCTTCTGAATTCTTTGGGGCCACAATCCATGATGAAACCTTGGCATGAAGCAAACAATATTGCTACCAAATGACAAACGCCAAAGGTTTGTTGACTCCTCTGATATAGCTGATGTGAATTTAGATGGAAAGAATTTAAGGGAAGAGGAAATTAAAGTAGGTTATCATTAAGAGATGTGACTTTGCATTTTATTTGGTTGTTGTTTATTACCAAAATTATCCCTATTCAGGTTAGCTG
This sequence comes from Homo sapiens, assembly GCF_000001405.40. Classification (NCBI taxonomy): domain Eukaryota; kingdom Metazoa; phylum Chordata; class Mammalia; order Primates; family Hominidae; genus Homo; species Homo sapiens. Next base: position 83,902,611 of record NC_000003.12, on the reverse strand, counting down.
AGAATTTTTATAGAAAATTTTATAGCTTACCTGGGTGGAGTTCATTTGATGACAGAATGTATTCTAATAACAGGCTCCTGCAACATGAAATATTTTTGGGTGCACAAATCCCATTAATATTCAATGCAACACCATGTATAGTGGCTTGATTAGTCTTGGCCCAGTTATTCCAGTGCTATGTGATGATATGTTCTGAGAGGATTACAGGAGCTGGTCTAGGGGTCTGAGTCAATTTATAATAAAATTCCTGGAAGCTCTTTATAATCATGAAAAAGTACCTGCTAATCAAAATAAAAATGTTAGCAGGAATTCTCCTCCAAATACTGGTGCGTTAAACTTTGGAAGAATTCAACTTTGGAGGAAAATAAACCATAATTGGACTAATAAAATAATTTCTCTAATGTAGCAGTGCTGAATGATAGCAATGCTGAGTGAGCTTGAGTGCTCACTCAGGAAGGATTAATGAATATTTTAATAACAGTGGAATTTAATGTATTTTAAGATCTGTGGCCTGGATTTCTAGAGGGCTAAGTTCAAGAGGCACATTTATGGGAACTTCATTAGCCATAAGGTTAGAACATAAGTTAAGGCAGGGTCCCACTTGAGTGATGACTTGATGATCATTTCTAATGGCCTAGAGGCCACACATTAAAAAAGCAAAAATACAAAAAAGCAAGTTTTCTTTATTGTCCTGTAACTGTCTAGGACAGAACAGATAAGAACAATACGTAATTCCTATGGGAGGTGGGAGGTAGATGGGCTATGTTACATGATATCTGGAATCTAATGTATTATTAATCTATTGCTGTGTAACGACCAAGGTGACTTTGACATTCCCTTTTGCTTGACCAAATTTTAGGTTTTCTTTCTCACTATAGGCACCTGACCTATCTTTTCTTAGAGCCTGTACTTTAGAAAACTTGTGATTGTAAATTCTTTCTCTTACCTTTGAGATGTAAATAGTCTACTACCTAGGAGTCTCTTTTTCAAGGAAGAATGGAATAATCAAGAAAAACAGTGTTCTAGTCTTCCAGTCTCTGTTGGAGATTAGGAGCCTAAGCACCAAGAGACCAACATAGACGGCCTAATCAAGTAACAATCTCCCTACAAATGTTCTACAGTACTTTTCCGTTAGCTCACACTAAAGTTTAAAAATCCTGAGTTTTGGCCAGACATAGTGGCTCATGCCTGTAATTCCAGCACTTTTAGAGGTCGAGGTGGGTGAATCACCTGAGGTTAGGGGTTGGAGACCAGCCTGACCAACATGGTGAAACCCTGTCTCTACTAAAAGTATAAAAATTAGCTGGGGATGGTGGTAGATACCCATAATCCCAGCTACTTGGGAGGTTGAGGCAGGAGAATAACCTGAACCTGGGAGGCGGAGCTTGCAGTGAGCCGAGATCGTGCCATTACACTCCAGCCTGGGTGACAGAGCGAGACTCCTACTCAAAAATAAATAAATAAATAAATAAATAAATAAAAATAATATTAAAAATAAAAAAATATTGAGTTTTTTTAGGGGATTCTTTAGGGTTTTTTTTTTTTAATATGTAATACAAGGTCTGAAAACAGAGACAATTTGACTTCTTCCTTTTTAATTTGGATGCCCTTTATTTCTTTCTCTTGCCTAATTGCGCTGGCCAGAACTTCCTTTCCTATGTTGAGTAGGAGTGAAGAAAGGGGTTATCATTTTCTTGTTCTAGTTCTTAGAGTAAAATCTTTCACCTTTTCTCCATTCACTATGATGTTAGCAGTGGGTTTGTCATATATGACCAACATAGGAGAAGCACTTCAGGATGTTGGTCTGGGGGAAAATTTTTTAGGTAACACCTCTGAATCATAGGAAAGAAAAGCCAAAATAAACAAATTGGATTATATCAAACTAATGAGCTTCTATGCAGCAAAAGAAACAATCAGCAGAGTGAAAAGCACAACCTGCAGAATGGGAAAACATATTTTTATTCATGCAACAAGAGATTAACCTCCAGAATATACAAGAATCTCAACTATCTCAACAGCAAAAAAAAAAAAAAAAGACAAAAACACACACAATTTATCTGATTTAAAAATGGGCAAATTATCTAAATAGACATTTATGAAAAGAAAACATACAAATTGGCCAGGAAGCATATAAAAAACTCAGCATCACTAATTAATCATCAGAAAAATGCAAATGAAAACCTTGATGAAATATCTCATGTCAGTTAGAATGGCTGTTATCAAAAAGACAAAAAAATAACATATGCTGGAGAGGATGTGGAGAGAAGAAAGCTCATATAGCCTGTTGATGGGAATGTAAGTTAGCACAGCAATTTTGGAGAACAGCTTGAAAACATTCTCAAAATCTCTGGCCAGAACTAAATGTGATTCAGAAATCCTACTATGTAGTATATATCCAGAGGAAAGGAAATTATTATATTGAACAGATTATCTACCTCCCCATGTTTACGAGAGCACTATTCACAATAGCCAAGATATGGAATCAATCTACATGCCCAGCAACCAGTGGAGGATAGGGGAGCTTAGTTAAAGGATACAAAATTACAGCTAAACAAGAGGAATAACTTTTAGTGTTCCGTAGCACTAGATGGTGAATATAGTTAACGATAATTTATTTTGTGTTTTAATAGCTAGAAGATCTGAAAGGTTCTCAACATAAAAAATAATAAATGTTTGAGGTGATAGATATGATAATAACCCTGATTTGATCATAACACATTGTGTACATGTATTAAAATATCATTCTGTAATCCATAATTATGTGCAACTGTTATATGTCAATTTTTTACAAAGAACAGATGAAATAAAAAAAATTCTCCTGTTTTTTGTTTCAGTAAGGCTGAGTTCAGTCTCTCTCTCCTATTGCAATAGTCTTCAATAAAGTCTTTTTTGACATTTGTAATAAGTGTCTGTGGTAATTTCCTTTTAAGAGTAATAATATTACCACAAACTTAGTTGCATAAAATAACACACACTTATTACCTTACAGGAGTGGGAACATGGGCACATTATGTATCTAGGAATATGAGAAAGAGCACAAATTAGCTTTTATTTTCTTGAGATACTGAAATATAGTATCAGTTACTTGTTGATAGAAAACCTAGTTTCTTTAACCTGTCGTACAAAACCAACTAAACCATTTGTCACTAGTATCTTATACTGTTTTACTTTACCTCATGTATTTATCACCATCTGAAATGTTACATATTTATTTGTATACTTTTTCTGTTTCTATCCAACATTATGTAAGCTACATGAGTGGTAGGATTTTGCATTTTTAATATTCATGTATATTTCCAGCAACTAGAACAATATAAAGTATATTTCATGTCTTAAATATATTTTGATTTAATGAATGAATGGATATTATGCTTGGACAGTATTAAAATACATATTTAAATAAAATCCTTTAGTATAAGTATACATTATTTCTTTATTTTGTAACTGTTACCATGAGGTCTTTCAAGTGTTGAGAAATACGGAGAAAATCATCCTTGATGTTCCACTTTTAAAATCTCTAGAAAAAAATCCATCTTTTCAGTGTCTGCTAAAAGAGGAACAGCTAAAATATATTTGCATATAATTGCAAGTTTAACGTTTCCTTGGGGCATTCAGTTCTAGAGCTTTCAATCATTTTCTCATCTTGTTCTGAAATGCCTGAGACTTCTTAGGCATTGGGTAATTTCTGAAGCATTTTTCTCAGTGTAAAAATCCTTACTTGGATAGAGTACTTTTCTTCATGCTCTTTAAAAATCAATTTTACTTTTTAACTTAGCTTTATAGTTTTATCCATTTCAGTGAATGATGGTTGATTCTTCCCATTAAAGCCTTCTTAAAACTAAAAACCTTGCAGTTCAAAGCCCTGATAATAATGTGACAACATTTTTAAGTATGTCAAAAATCTTGAAATACTAGAAAGCTCAAGTAGTGGGTTACTCAGTAATTTTGCTGAATCTTACTAACTCTACCAATGCCCAAAGTTATTTGAATTTTAATTCAATTAATTTGTTGTGATACAGGAACCTTCTCAGATATGTGAATGAGTGTGTTTGTGTTTATGAAAGGGTACAATAAGCTAGATAAGTTTAAAGACTCACAGAGAAAACTCCCTTGGGGATAATAACAAAAAGAGAAGGAGAATATAAAGAATGTAAATAGAGAAAATAACAAAAATGTCATGACAAATACTTACTCATTTTTTTCCCTTCCTATTAATTAAAGAAAATAGCAAGTTACTGTTTGGCTAATTCTGTAAATTATGTCAATGACAATTACAGTGATCCCTATAAAATAGAATGCATTGATGACTACATGATTTGGGAGCCCATAATACAGGAATATTTTATTAATAGTTTGTCATTAGTCTGGTTAGTGTTGGTGAATTACTTAAATGTATTACCAAAAGGATAACCCTCATTAGAGTTGATAAAATACTATGGAAACAAATCTGATAATGTGTCTGAAGGTGGCTAAATAAAGAAACTTTGCCATAAATCAAGAACATGATTTAGGTGTATTTTTCTTTTTTTTTTTTGAGATGGAGTCTCGCTCTGTCGCCCAGGCTGGAGTGCAGTGGCACAATCTCGGCTCACTGCAAGCTCCACCTCCCAGCTTCATGCCATTCTCCTGCTTCAGCCTCCCAAGTAGCTGGTACTGCAGGCGCATGCCACCACACCTGGCTAATTTTTTGTATTTTTAGTAGAGACGGGGTTTCACTGCGTTAGCCAGGATGGTCTCGATCTCCTGACCTCATGATCCACCCGCCTCGGCCTCCCAAAGTGCTGGGAATACAGGCGTGAGCCACTGCGCCAGGCCATTTTTCTTATAAATAGATGTGAAGATGCAGATTAATTAAACAAAAAAGCAAATAAGATCTAAAGATTAAGAAAATGTGTAGTTTGAAATGTAAAAGAAATATAGGATAATCCAGATATTTTAATGATATACAAATTCGTGTGAGGTGTTTGATTATTACATATTGGGTAGAGAATGAATAATTCAGTGATAGAAGTTACTTTTACTTTGTACGTAAGTGATTTTATAATAGTTCACTCAGATAATGGTGGTTTGTTATTTATTGGTTTGTAACAAACTACCTCAAAACTTAAGAACTAAAATTATAATTCATTATTATCTTTCACAGTTTGTGTGTTGCTTGGTCCAGCAAGGTAATTCTCCTGGCAGTGTCTCAATCAATTACCATTTTGGATGGTGGATGAAAGCTTTACTGGGCTGAACGCTCAAGATTTTTTTTTTCCCTTGTGTCTGCAACCTGGAATCGGATGGCTAGGTGGCCAGCTCTTCATGTGGCTAGCTGAGTTTTCCTCACCGCATGGTGGTCGGTCTCACTGTAGCTGGATATTTTATTCAATACCTTATTTTCTACAGAAAGAGCATTCCAAGAGATTCAAGGTGAAGCTGCAAAATAGATGGCCTACAATGTCACTTTCTCTGCATCTTATTTGTCAAACAAATCACTAAGACCATATTCCCATAGGAGGTGGAGTATATTCAGGAGGAGAAGTTGCAGTGAAGTGATAATTAGCAAATAAGAATTGTATATATTCAAAGTGTGCAATGTGATGTTTTTATACACATGTACCTTGAAAAATGATTACCAAAATAATACTAAGTAACATATCCATCACCTCACAAAGTTACGTCTCTCTTTTCTTTTCTTCTTTTTTTTTTTTTGTGGTGACAATACTTAAGATCTACCTTCTTAGCAAATAATATGAGAAAATGATATATATATACGTGGAGGAAAATAATTGATCATAAGCATCTTGGGAAATAAGCTACCCCATTGATACACCAAGACCATTGACTTGCTTTTGTCTGAATATAAGGAGAGATGAATAAGGTAAATATATAGATTTAGGGAGACTTGAGCATATAAGGAATAATTTTAATTACAATAGTTGTGATTGTTAGAGATAGTGTGATATAAAAGAATAATAACATATTTAGATAGAAGTTGGTTTATGCCAATGTTTAAGAATGTAGTATCAAGAAATGTGTAGGGTAGGAGACTTTACACTTCTTGAAAGCCTTCCACAATTCCATGGATGTTGGCATAACACTCAAGATTCTGGGGACAGGGACCTTTGGTGATATTGCATGAGCTTTCTGTTTGCAACAATTCTTCCTGCATCCCAAGTTCTGCAGGGGTGAATATAGATGGGCACTATTCATGTAGTGAGTTTGTGTCCCAGTTGAGAACCTTGAACATAGAAAAACTCATTTTTTTAATAATAGTTGCAAGTGTACCTGCCAGAACTTTGCCGTAAATTAGACTATTATCTATACCATGCTGGACAGCAGAAAAACCTGTCCCCTACTCTGGAGGGAGACATCATCTCCATCTTCCAAGCCTGCTTGATGTATGAATATCCTTGAAAAATATGTTCATTTTCTATTGCTGCTATAACAAATTATCACACACTTAGAAGCTTAAAATAGCACAAAGTTACTATTTCAAAGTTATGTAGGTCAGATATCTGGTTTGGCTTAACTGGCTTCTCTGCTCCAGGTTTCACATGTCTGAAATGAATGGATAGCTAGCTGGCTATTATTTAGAGGTCCTGAGAAGCATTTGCTTCTGTATTTATTCAGACTGTTGCAGAATTTAATTCCCTGTGATCATGGGGTTTAGGTCCCCATTTCCCTGCTATATATCGGTTGGGGGCTGCCATTAGCAACCAGAGACCTCTCTCTGGCCTGAACTCATGAACTCCTGTACCTCATAGCTTGATATATCACATAAAATCCTTACAGCACTTGGAATATCTCTGACTTTTTCTGCTTCCAGCCCTAGAACATTCTGCTTTTCAGGGCTCTGTAGTTAGATTGGATCCACCAGGATAATCTTATTTTCAGGTTCTTAGTTATAATTACATTTGAAAATTTAGGTTTTCCATGTAACAGAACATGTTCACAGACTCTAGGGATTAGACTGTGGAACTCCTTGAGGTTGGAGGCAGGGGTTGACATTATTCTGCCTACCACAAAATATAGCTCCCAACAAAAACTGTCAGTGCCTCTGATCATAAGACATACAGAAATATGAGAAACCCATGGAGAATTATCTCCTAACACTCTACGGAAGGAAAAAAAGTCACCAAAGCAAGCATTTTGAATGGAACAAGTTCAAAAGAAGAATCAGAAAAGAGTAGTACAACTGGGAGATGGGGAGGGGTGGGAAGTAGATATTTAAAACCAGTGCAAGTGTCAAAAGCTACATCTACATATGTTTAGATAATAGATATTTGTCCATCCATTAGATTTAGTAATTCAAAAGTAATTAGTGACTGTTCAAAACCAGTTTCAGCATAGTTGTGGAGATGTATGCCAATTGCATTGGGGATTGGAGTAAGTATTTAGTGAAGAAGAGATGTCACTATGCATATTACTCTTCGGAGAAGCTTATTAGTGATGTAAAGAAGACAGCAAAAGTTTGAAGCTACCGCATGTAAGTGAGATCATGTAGTATTGGTCTTTCTGTGACTAGGTTATTTCACTTAGCATAATATCCTCCAGGTTTATACCAGGTTCATCCAAACAATACGATTTCCTTCTTAATGTATTGCACACTTGAAATCTGCTAAGAGACTAGATCTTAGGTATTCTCACCACAAAAAAATAAAAAGCTGACTCTGTGAGGTGATGGATATATTAATCAGCTTCATTATGGTAATCATTTCACAATGTATATATGTATAAGAACATTGCATTGTACACCTTGAATATATACACTTTTTATGTGTCAATATACCTCAATAAAGCTGAAAAAATGTTGGAAGCTGGAAGTGGAGTCAATGGTGGGTTTCCTTGGTAGGGGTGTATGTGTGTGGGGGTTGGTTATATTTATGGGTGGGATGAATGATCCATACACAGGTAAAATCAAAGTTGATAAATAGCAATGAGACATTGATGGAATAAAGTTCCAAAGAGACAGTAGTGGATTGAATAAGAATCACAACTATATTAAAAAGAAGGTGGAAATGATTAATGAGATGGATATAAATTTATGGGGGAGTATGAGAGATCAAGTAAATAGCCCTCATGCCTGAATTTTATGTTTTAAAGGAAATGCAAGAGAGAAATGCATTGAATGAAGACACAGGTATAAAGATCGACTTTGACCTTGCACTTAAGAGTGAGTGAAATAAAAACAATGATGAGACACAAATAAGTTTATGGGAATTTGTAGAGCATGAGTTAAGGGTATTCATGCATGAACTTCCTGGTGGTGTAAAGGAGGTAAGGGATGATAATAACGTGTGCCAAAATTAAAGGAGGTGGAGGCTTGAAAGGAATATTATAAAGAATTTTGATGATTATGGCTAATCACTGCAGGGGATGAGAGAAAAGGTTAAAAGACAAGGAAAAGTACTGTGAATCAGCATACAAGTTCAGTGAAAGAGTAGGCTACATATTTGAATTTTCAGCATTTAACATGGTTTTCTTAAAAAAAATGCACAATACCTGCTCCAAATCTCAGTTCATAAAGCATTTTGGGCTATATTTTCGATTTGTGAAGGAAAAAGAAACCTACTTCAGGCTAATAGAAATTGAAAAGATAAATCCTAGATCACAAATAATATTGGAGCTCAAAGAGTTAACCACAGGCTTAGAAAGGTCCAGCAAGTGGCAAAGTGATTGTAGAGTGGAAGCAAAGAGAATGTCTGACTTTTCCAGTTCCAGCTGGAAAAATATGTACATAATACCGTTATAGTCTATGGAAACCTATGATCATGCCAATGTTCTAACATAGTAATTTGGTGCTTCATATGAATAAAAATGCCAAACAAAGCAATTAAATGAATAAAGCATCAGAATTGGTATGCCCTTTTAACCTAGAAGCAGAAATGCAAATCGTACCTGAAGAAATAATTTCTGAATACAAACCCTTTAGTATGTCAAGAAAAAAAATCAGCCAAAAGTTAACTCATAGTAAAAATTACCAAACACACAAGAAATAAAGCTACCATTAATGCAAGGTATCAGAAAAACACAAAGAACAAATTTGACTTTCAATTTTAAGTTTTTTCTTAATTGTATATATTACTAAAAGCCAGATGTCTTTTAAAATATATAACCACAGTATTATCATTGTGTCTAAAACAATTTTTTAATTATACTTTCAGTTCTAGGGTACATTTGCACAACATGCAGGTTTGTTACCTATGTAAACATGTGCCATGTTGGTTTGCTGCACCCATTAACTCATCATTTATATTAGGTATTTCTCCTAATGCTATGCCTTCCCCCTCCCCCCACCCCATGACAGGCCCCGGTGTGTGAAGTTCTCCGCCCTGTGTCCAAGTGTTCTTACTATTTACAAATAGCTAGTCAGTACTCACCATTTTCTGATGGCCTTATACTTGATTTTCTTGGGTCTACTCAAATTCCAGATAAACATCATATAGTACAATTCATATGTCTCTTAATCCTTTTTTTTTAATTTGTAGGTTACCCACCCTATCTCTATCATGTTTCAATCTTGCTATTTATTTGTTGAAGAAGCTAGATTGCTTGCTCGACCTAACTGAAATTGAGAAAGATTGTATTGTAACATTGTGTTATATCATGTTTTTTTGACTCTTGTGTTTCCTATAACCTGGCAATCAAATCTACATGATTGAGCTGACTTGGAATTAATTATTATTATCATTTTATTTAATTTTTTGGCAAGAACACTGCAAGGATTGTAGTGTGTTCTCTCATCAGAAAGTATCTACTCTCTGTTTCTTTTTGCTAATAGCTTAGACTTTTTATTTTGATAATAGTTGCAAAATAGCAAAATTATAATTTTATATTGTCTTTCTTATTTATTAGCTGAATTATATTTATACAGGTTGTTCCTTTAAAGGGAAAACATCCTTTCTTCCACAACTTGCTTGGGCTGTTTCACAGCATACAAAGGGAGGGAGGAATAAATGCATCTTTATTTTATTTAATAAGAAATTAAAATGATGAGTTAATTGTCCTGCATTATCTAAAAGTGACCAGAGTGTTTTTTTTTTCTTTTAGCCATTAGAAAACCATAGATTTAAACATAGTTGATATATTTCCTTCTATTGTAGTTTTTGTTTGTTTTTTCTTTGATGCTTATGTTACAGCATTTTTTGACAGTGGGAGCTACTTAAAGGTGGCCACTAAATCTTTTCAATATGACAAGTAGATTTTGATAGGTTTTTGCTTTTTATGACAAAGTTGTTTTAGGCCTATCTTGTACTTTTTCTGCTCAGATCTGAAATTTGTCATTTTTTCAAAGAATCGTTGCTCCTTTTGAGAGAGGAAGACAGGATTTAATGACCATCTTTTCAGCACTATAGCTTCTCATTGTTTCTGACTGTCTTAGCTTTCACTGCCTGCCACCACAAAACACCAGAGACTGGGTGGCTTAAACAAAAAAAGATTTACTGTTTCACAATTTTGGAGGCTAGAAGTCCAAGATCAAGGTGCCAGTAGAGTCGGTTTCTTCTGAGACCTCTCTCCTTGGCTTCCAGATGGTCGCTCTCTTACTGCTTCTTCACATGGCTGTCTCTCCGCACTCATACCCCTGGAATCCCTGTGTCCAAATTTCGTCTTATAAGGACACCAGTCAGATTGAATTAGGGCCCAGCCATATGACTTTATTTAAACATAATTATCTCTCCAAGGCCCCATTTCAAAATACACTCACATTTTGAGACACTGGGGTTTAGTATTTCAACATGAATTTTGAGGGGACATAATTTAACCCAGAACACTATTTATTATTTTTAAGTTTTCTTAGTGGATACGGTGAGAGCAAATGTTATTCTAAAATATATAGTAAATAAGTTATTTTATATTTGTATATCTTCATTTTTTCTTGGTCTCTTAGTAGCTAAATGTTATCACTGGAAATACTTTAAGCATTTTTACATTTTTTTTCCTATCCTTGGATGTAACCCACAAGAGAACTGCCATCACATGTCTAGATCTACAATTAATTGAAATAATTTTTCTTTGTTATTTGCCATGGACTATACATACATTTGTTGTAATCTGCTTTAGATTTTAGGAGTTTCAATTTTGTTTTATTTTGTTAGCATGTCAAACATTTGTAGGTTTCCAACGTCAAATTCGTGAATGGTTTCTGTGAATACCCCTCTCAATTCAGTTGCTCCTATCAGACAGGCCTACCTGTCAGCCTATCTGATAGGGCTTCTATCAGAAGACCCCTCTCAATGCACTTGCTCCTATCAGAGGGGTTTCATGCAGAGTATGAACCCCTCTTTTCAAGTATGAATTATTGTTGTGTTAAATTTCTGGATTCTCAGTTCCTGGGGCCATCAAATTTTCCTTTATTTCTTTCCTCTCACCTGATCACTGATATTACCACAGTTGGATTGCTGTTGGTAATTTGACACATTTAACTTATAATTTGAGCCCCTCCACTTTGTAACTGTGGGATGTTTGTATGAGATAGAATTTTTTAAAGAGATCTGCATCAGTATACATCACATCTAGTAATATACTGGTAAATGTTTAACAACTGACTATGTGCATGAGGTGGAGGTATAGTGTTTGTTTCATTTGTCAATTTTTATGATGTAAGTACTGCCACCACGCTTATTTTGAGATGTCAATGTGATGCCACTGAAGGCAGATTTGAGAAGTAATGCTAACCACCCACCCTTGTGAGTCAGCTCCAGGACATACTGATCCCATCCCACATGTTCTTCTTTTACGGTAATATTTACATTCCTCTATTGAGTTGTGAGAATTATATCCATTCTCATTGAACCTAAGAAAATTCTAATGACATCAACCAACAAATTGCAGCAGAAGTGCTGTTATATGACTTCTACATCTGTCATAAAAAACAACACAGCTTTCTTTTTTCAATGCATGTACCTTAGGAGCCCTCATCCACAATGTTAGTAGTCCAGCTACCCTGAAGCTTCCATGATGAAGAGAGTATACGGAGTGACCAGATAGTGGTGGAGTGAGATTTCTTCAGCTGTTTGTTTTTTCTTCAGAGTGGGCAAATGTCCTAGCCTCCAGATGACTCCATCTCCAGCCAACATCCTCTGACTGAAACTGCATGAGAAACCTCAACCAGGAAATACTTAGTTAAGCCCAATCCACTCTATGTCCTGTGAAAGATAATAGCAAATTACTATTATAATTATTAGTATAGCTTATTTACAAATAATTTTAGGTTTACATAAAGTTGCAAATATAGTACAAAGTATACCATTCAACCAATTTCCTCAAGGTTTCACAACTATCCTTTTTAGAGTTCAGGAATGTTTTAGTTCATTTGGGCAGCAATAACAAAATAATGTAAACTGGTTGGCTCATAAACCACAGATATTTATTTTGTACAGTTCTGGAGGCTCAGAAGTTTAAGATCAAGGAGTCAGCAGATTTGATATTTGATGAGGGCCCCTTTCCTGGTGCCTTCTCACTGTGTACTCACTCATAGTGGAAAGGGTGAGACAGCTCTCTAAGGCCTCTTTAATAAAAACACTTATCCTATCCATGAGAGCATGACCTAATCACTCCCAAAGACCCCACCTTCTAATACCATCACATTGCTGATTACACTATAACATAAGAACTTGAGGGAAGGGACGGGGGACACAAATACTAAGACTATAGCAAGGATCCAACCCAGGAACCTGAATTATGCTGCTTTTGTTTTCATCCCCTAAGTTTGAGGTTGATATTTTACATGCGGTTGTAACATCTGAAACATCACTTCCAAGTTTAGGTCAATATGAGTTCCATTATGTTGATATCTGTTACAGATACCTTCTGTTTTAGACCCTAGATCCTCTCTCTGTGCCTCTTTCTCAACTTTTTCTTTGTCCCAACAAAGAAAAAGTGCCTCTTTCTCAACTTTTTCTTTGTCCCAACAACTGACATAATTATTACTCATAAAGCAGCTTCCTTGTCCTTACATTTGAAATTAAGTTCAACTGATCACAATGCCAGCAAGACACTGGAGAGAAGTAAGAGGGTATGATATTGTATATATTTCCCCTGTCTAATTCAATGTTTTAAGGTCAACATGAGCTATCTGCATCTCCTGAATAAAATCACAGCCACTAGAAGTTAACATCTACCCAAAGTTTCTGTTTCAAATTTCTGCATGTGTCCTTTCCTTTTGTTCTTTCAGGTTCCAGAATGATAACAGCCTAATTATTGTCATTCAGTAGTATTTGTGTTTTCCTTTCACACTGCTCATATCTTTGTAAATTGTTTCTTCATTAAACCCTACTCAAATGGCCTGATTTGAATATCCCATATGTTTTTTTCTTAAGACCCTGAATGACTGTGTGTTTGATACTGACATCTCTCTAAGAATACAGACCATGAAGATGGGGTTTTAAGATTTGGTGGCTTATTTGAGAAGTGCATGGATAAATTTATGTCTTTTAGTCTTGGGTCATCCATAATATGTTGTTTTTTTTAACTTTAAATCAAGTGGTGATGGGATGCAATGGTGTAGGGATTGTAATAGCTATCATTCTAAATTATTACGGAGAAAGGACAGATTATAAAACTGTGGGATTATAAGTTTCATAAGTAAGGGCTAACTCAGCTCTCCTTTATTGTGCTCATTTCAATTTACATTGTTTTTTTTCTTACACTCGAAGCATGTGAGGACTTTACCCCATTTTGCTGGCCAATCTTCATGTTTCTTTTTAGGGTACCATTTTTTTTTATTAATTTTATTGTTTGTTACCAGAGCTTGTATGTAGGTACTTACCCTCACTTTCATCTCTTCCCCACTACAAAATGGCTAACTTTTTTGTAGTTCATTATGTCTTTCATTTTTTAAATTATAAATAATGCTTTAACCCCAAAACTCACACATGCAGGAAGCAGGTTTTAAAGGATTATAGGCTCATGCCTATAACCCCAGTGCTTTGAGTGGCCGAAATGGGCAAATCACTTGAGGTCAGGAGTTTGAGACCACCCTGGCAAAAATGGAGAAACCTGTCTCTACTGAAAATACGAAAATTAGCTGGGGGGTGGTGGCAGGTGCCTGTAATCCCAGCTACTCGGGAGGCTGAGGCAGGAGAATTGCTTGAACCCTCGAGATTGTGCACAATTGCACTCCAGTCTGGGTGACAGAGTGAGACTCTGTCTCAAAAAAAAAATAGATAAAAATAAAAAATAAAATAAAAGGCAGACACCTACAAGAAGGAAATACATACCAGTGTCCTCTTTAGATGTAGCAATAGGGGAAGCAGAGGTGACAAAAAAACAACGGATAAGAGAGTTTGTCCCAAAGCTACAATTAAGGTCCGAGCAAGAAAATTTCCCCACTGCCAGCTTATGGAATATCATAAGTGAAACAGATAATATCATAAGTGAAACAAATAATGAAGCATGTGTGTCTCTTGTTTGTCTCTTGTCTGAATGAAATTGTTCATTTAAGTAATTTTTTTCCTATTACAATATCACAGGGTGTATATATAGTGCATATTTTTATTAAGACACCAGGCCATAAGGACCCTTATTGAAACTTAATGGAGAAAACTAGTTACCATAAAGAGATCTTAGATTTGGGCTAAATCCAGGGATTAGATTGGATTCACGTCCCTTGCTAAGAGGTTAGTGATTACATGTGTAGTAGGAAGAGTGATATGGACATTTAGTGACAAAATGTGTGTTTACTCACTCTTCAACAATTCTTATGACAGTTTAAAAGCATTGGCTTTACATTAGAGTGAACTTTCTTCCTTATTTTGTTGAATGCTTTAAGTTTTTGAATTTGCTAAAGAGTAATCACCTCTGAATCACTTTTGAATAGGATGGATTTCATTTTAAGTCACATTATGCTTCTTTACAAGAATCACAAAAACTGTTGCAACTAGAAATGCACATGGAAATAATTGTAATGAAATTAATAAAGTATTTCAATATTTCACATAACAAGTTTTAATAACTTCCATGTCAAATTTCTTATAATATATTCATGATTATTTACTCTTTCAAAGTAACTATAGACTATATTGTATACATAAATACTAATACTACATATTTCCTTTAATATGATTTATAATATCTTTTTCTTAATAATGTCTGTTGTGCTTTTCATTGTATTGAGTATCTGCTATTAAGGTTTTTTTATTAGTTTGTTTTTTTCCCTGAGAAACTTCCCCCTTAACATAACCTGAAGAATTCCATCACCATTGACTCTCCAACCTTGGATCAATATTTACCCCACCTTTCATTTTGAAATTCTGCTCATGCTTGGATTCAATGACACTGTTTTTTTTGCTTTCTAGCTCTAAAATTGTACACTTTTCCCACTAGTATCTTTTGAAACGTTTTATTTCTTTTAAACATCAGGGAAACTAATTTAACAGACAATATATTTATTTGAAGATTTAGGATCCATTATTTAAAAATGAAATTGAAATGGACATTTTATCAAATTTAACAATTTGTCATTTTGGTGCATCACATCAGGTATCTGTCAGTTCTCCTTTACTTTCTTAAAGATGGTATTTTTTATATTCCTTTGTCTTCCTGCTCTAGTCAAAGGCTGCTTTACAACGAGTTTTCAGAACATGTATTTATTAATCCTCTTGACATTTTCATTTGCCTTTTATCCTGAATTTGATCTATAATTTTTGTTTGTTGCTTTTTAAAAATAGACACTGCATTTTTTTTTCATTTTGGGTTAATCCTTTTTCTTTAAATATATCCTTAAACAACTTCCCAAGAAAGAAAATATGCATGACAGATAGTATTTTTAAAAGGTGACATGTGGCTGGGTGTGGTGGCTCATCCCTATATTCCCCCAGCACTTTGGGAGACTGAGATAGACAGATCACTTGAGGTCAGGAGTTCGAGACCAGCCTGGCCAACATGCAAAACCCTGTCTCTACGGAGATTACAAAAATTAGCCGGGCATAGTAGCACGTGTCTGTAGTTCCAGCTACTTGGGAAGCTGAGGCAGGAGAATCCTTTGAACCAGGCGGGCAAGGGTTGCAGTGAGCCGAGATGGCGCCACCGCACTCCAGCCTGGGCGACAGAGAGACCCTGTCTCAAAATAAAATAATTTTTAAAAAGATGATATATCTAAAAACGTAATTTTTTCTACCTCATCCTTAATTAATAATTTAACAATATATTTTAAGCCATATTTTTCTCCAGAAGGTTGAGAATTAAATATATATATTTATTCCTTTTACTTTCAATCATTAAAACTGACATATTCTTATTCTTAACTTTTTACTTTATCTCAAAATAAATGTATTATTTTCTCCTAATTTCAAGATGAAATTACATGTCATGATCCTTCTTTCATTCATTGTTCTGATTATTCAATTTAGTAAGACTTTTCTATATATTCATTAGTTCTGGAAAATTTAATTTTAATTAATATCTTTCCAATTTCTTCTGTTCTCTCTTAGTAGATGTTCGTTATTAGTCCTTTATGCTTTTTTGTAACTTTTTAATCCTTATTTTCATAAATTATATTTTTATACAGTCAAATTTTTGAGAGAATTTATCAACATTTCTTTCCATATTTTAATTATTTTATTAGTGTTATTATATTTTTTTACTTCTCAGGAACACTTTCATGTTTTCTAAATGTTATACTTTAATGATAAATTATTTTCCCCTTAAATGCACCTACCTATCATCTCTCTGGATTGTATTTAGAGTTTGATTTCTTTCTGCCATTTTATCTGTTTTTTGTTTTTCCTTTCTGTTTGTTTTGTTCTTTACCTTTCATGTTGCAGCCTTCCCTCACACATTGTATATTGAAAAAATAAAGCAATAGCTTCTGGCAAAGTATTTTTACAATGTTTCCAAACAAATTCTCATTGACAATTAAGAAAAAAAAATCTGGAAAAAAATGTCGAAGTCTTAGTTTGAATGTATCACACAAAAGTAAATAATTACAGGGCCGAAATCTAGGGAATGAGGAATCCAGAGTGACATGTCAGACCTACCTTACTGTTTTCCTCTTAATGTGACTGACAGTTTTTTTAAGTGGAGAATGACAAGCTAAGCAATGCTTTCAACAAATATTAGAGTTCATAATTGATGAAAGGAGGTCCCTGGTATCCCTCTAGTCTTTGTGTTGGAGTCCCAGAGGCCTACAATTTAGGGAAAAACGTGAATAGGAGATAGATAAACACCTATGATTGCAGCCAAATATGAATTCTCTAAATCTCTGAATGGAATAAGTAGATTTGTTATTTCTAGCACCTCTACCCTAGCCCATTACAAAAGTAAATTTTATCCAAGGAAGATAACATTATCGTTAAGTATATTACATACTCTATAATCTTTCGTGCTTAAGATATAGCATTTAGTTAAAAAAAAAAGCTAAATGAGACAGTATCACTTTAGTTAAATAGCAGTAACAGCAACAACTGAGCTCAACTAACAGATGCTAACCTTTAGGTCTACTATTAAAATAATATTACAAATATATAACTAAATTTGATGACAGATAAAATTGATACAGATCAAACTTGTCTTACAATCATTAAGGGACTCAAATCTATACTTAATAACCCAGCCACAAAGAAAACATTAAACCTCGATGAGCCCGTTAGTGAAGTTTACTAAACCATTAAGCAATAATGTGAACATTATCAAAATTCTTCCCAAGAATGGAGACTAAGTAATATCTCCCACTGAATCTTAGAAGGCCTGTGTAATGTTAACACATAAACTTAAAAAGAATGTTATAAGAAAAAAAAATGCAGGAAAATCATTTTCATAATCACTTATGTAAATTAAGTACATTTATAATAAACTGAATCTAAAGTGACTATTGTATAAATAGCCAGATGTTATCAAATATATGTTTTGTTTGATTAATGTTTGAAAGACAAAAATATTTTTTACACATACTATGGAAGATTATCCAGGATTATAGCTCACAGTCTATTCCTCTTTGGAGGAAATAGCAAAAAGATAAAGATATTCAGACATAAACATTGCAGAAAACTTTTTGTAAGCTATGTGATATGGTTTGGCTCTGTGTCCCCACCCAAATCTTATCTCGATTTGTAATCTCCATACTTCCCACGTGTCCAGGGAGGAAACCGGTGGTAGGTGATTGGATCATGGAGCAGTTTCCCCATGCTGTTCTCATGATAATGAATGAGGTCTTACAAGATCTGATGGTTTTATAAGTGTTTGACAGTTCCTTCTTCACACACTCACTCTCTCCTGCTGCCATGTAAGAGAGGTGACTGCTTTCCCTTCTGCCATGACTGTAAGTTTCCTGAGGCCTGTCCAGCCATGCAGGACTTGAGTCCATTAAATCTCTTTCCTGTGTTAATCACTCAGTCTCACGTATTTCTTTACAGCAGTGTGAGAATGAACTAATACACCATGTTGCTGATTTCACTTTTCTCAATCTTGACAAAAAAAGTCTTTGCTTAATAAAACGCATGTATCTGACAGATGACATTTTTATTGCCAAGATAAATGAATAGAACTCAAGGTAACAATGAGGAAATGTGTCACCTGATTAGTTTTCTCAACTTATGTGCTTGCTGCCTTTTTTCTTTTATTTCAGTATATCTGTCTTTTCTATAGCATTTTTACCTCTTCCCAAGCTAAAACCTGCTACACTGAAACTTTGTGGAATATCTAAGAAAATAAAAAACAACAACAGTAATAATGCAACTGACATGACATACTTTTATGACTGCTTATCTTATCTTGTGGTGAAGAAACTACAAAGTAGTAATATTGTTTATTATGGTGGTAAAACAAAATGAAATAATTTTTTAGTAGCAGACTCATTTGGAACCTATAATTTAACCAGAGCAAGACCACTTATATTGAATACAAAAGATCTGAAGGGAAATCATTATGAGTTCAAATTCAATAAGGGGGAAAACTCTTAGAATTTTTTCCAGTATCATGAAGAAGTTCTCTGGGACTTCAGGGAACACTAGATGGAGAGGAGTTTCACAGGATACTACTGTTCCTCAGGAATTATGTAGGGTTAATACTACATGGGAGCATAAATGTTAGATTAACTGGAAAGTGTCTGTGCAGAATAAATGAATTTCAAATAAATACAAAAATTTAACTTCCTAACTCTGCATTTTTCCATTGGATTTTTACATTTAAATTATATTTAAGAGTTGGGATAAATAAATAGAAATATACTTGTGTGTTAGTTATTGCATATTGTATGTATCAGACATTTTTAGCAATATGTTAGGCTTTGGCATGTTTTATAACAAATTAAAATATATGATGTCTTCCCTTGAACAGGTTGTACTTTAAAGGAAAACTACATATTTTTCAGATAATGTATTTTAGACCTTTCTAACTTTATTATGCCTTCCACTGTATACTTGCTCATGTTGACAAACAAATTGTTTGATAATATTGACACAATGTGGTAGGAACTCACCTTTCATTCTCTGTCATAAATTCAGTGGCACCTTTACTACCCTTTTATCCTTTTCCTTGATCTCGGAAAGGTATCATTTCTTCTTTCCAAGGCAAGGTACTCTGATAAGTCTCAGAAGCTATCTGCTTTTTGAAGAATTTTGCTTCTTGTATCATATTCTTGTTGGCATTTCATTACTTTCCTCTCTATTAAAATTTTCCACTTACTCTTCCACTTATTTAAATGTTTTCTATCCTAATAAAATCTCTTAGTCAACTGTGCAACCATCCACTTCCTTTGAGTCATTAAACTTGAAAAATCAGTCTATATTTACTGCTCCCGCTTTATTACTATACACTCATCTTTACTTCTTCCACAATAATGCTTTGCCTTTCATTCCTGTATTTTTAACTTCTCTTCATAAGACAGAGATTCAAAGTACTAGCAACTTTTCTGCTATCTAGTACTGAAAAACCACTTGCAATCAGTTGTCATTTCTTTCTCTGCCATAGCTTTTATTTTTCTTGCACGGTTCTTCTCCAACTTATAGTTTCTAACAGCCTAGTTTAAATCTTTATTCCTCACACCTAAAGAATCAAAATTGCTTACTAACTTTTGGACTATTTTTACTCTGTATGTCTTCCGATTTATTATATGCACAGTTGCTAAATGCACCTTTCTGAAACATTGATCTGATAAATATTGTAGTGTTGAATATCTCTGCTGAATTCTCATTGTCTACAGAATAAAGAGAAAAGACCTGGCTTGTTTTCCAGCACTCCATGACCTGACTCTAAATCACCTTTCTGATATTATTTTCCACTCTTTCCTTTTATGATCACTATAGTCCTGCTCATAATCTTTGCTTATGTTCATACATTTGCTCCCATTTTTCAAATATCAAACCTTTGTCTATGCTTTATGGCACATTTCCAATTTTTCTTTCATCATCAATCTTTCTGTGATGCTTTCAGTAGAAAATATTCTCCCTTTTTAACTTCCATCATATTTTATATATACATTTCTTTTTTGTAAAGATATTTTATTATTTATAAAACATAACAGGGTTAATAGTAGTCCATGAGAAACAACATAAAAAAGAACTGCAAGAAGTAACATTTCTGTGTCATATTTTAATACAAATAATAACATTTTATTAATGTAATATCTTGGTTAAACATAAAATTTTTCTGTCTTCGTTTTCTGCAAATTAATTGATTAGGTTTTCAAAATACATAATTAACCAACTTTATTTTCAAGTTATACAAATAAAAATAATACTAGACACGCTTGGCAAATGCAAGATCACGAATAAAATTTTGATATTTTTGAATTTGAGAAGAAACGTTGTGGTAAAACATTCTAATTGGATTTTTAAAAATTGTATTTTGAATTTAAAAGTTCCATATAAATTCTAGATTCAAATCCTTTATCAGATATCCATAAAAGATAATAAGTTGGATTTTATAAAAACAAAAATATTTTTCTCTGTGAAAGACCTTGTTAGGAGAATGAAAATAAAAACTACATATTGTAAGAAAATATATTCAAACCACAGGTAACTTTTTTTTTATATCCAGCTCTTCCAGCACCACTTTTTGAAAAGACTATTCTTCCTACTTTTTATTACTTTTCTACCATTGTAGAAAATCAGTTATCTATACTTGTGTGTGGCTGTTTCTGTGCTGTGTTGCACTGATACATATGTCTGCATATCCACCAGTACCACGCATTCTTCATTGCTATAGCTGTATAAAAATCCTAAAAACAGGTAGAGTGATTCATTCATTCCGTTATTATTTTCCTAAAGTTATTTTAGCTATTCTAGTTAACTTTCCTACATTAAATTTAGAATAATTTCGTCAATGGATAACCTTGCTAAATTTTTTTTTCAGGGAGAATTTACATCTTCATTATTTTGAGCCTTTTAATCAAGGAACATAGTGTGTTTCCTTGTTTATTTAGGTCATCTTTGACTTCTTTCACTAGCTTTTTGTCACGTTCGGCCTACAGATCCTATACATGAGTTTTCTTATATTTGTTTATAAGTATTTCATTGTCTTGGAATTAGGTAAATAATATTGTAACTTTAGTTTACATTTCTATGTTTTTATTGCAGTACATACACAATTGATTTTGTTTGCTGATACTGTATCCTGCAACCTTGATTAACTTAATTATTACTTCTAAGGGTTATTTTGAGTTTCTTTAGAATTGTCTACATAATCAATCATGTCATCTGCACATACTTTACCTATGTATTGATATTTATGTTAGTACTTATATATCTCTTTGCAGTACTAGATATAGGTTTGGGAGCTGTATCATTTATTTCCAATATTAATATTAAAAATGTGTAAGAACAGAATTTTTTAGTGTTGCACATTAATAATTCTCAGTCAATAATTTTGAATGAATTGGGTGAAATTCTTCAACTTCTTATTTATTGAATTCATAATACTATAGCGTATGTACTATAGAGTGAAATATAAATTATTATTTTATTAACATATGACACTTAAAATCAGAATATGTGGAAATTTTCTCAGCATATGTAAAATGATGCCTACACCAGAATCTGTGAATTTCTTAATATTAATAGGACAACCACAATTTATTATGAATGAGTCTTATTTATTAGACCTCGATTCTGTTATTTGCCAGTGATCCTTGTGATAATCGGGGAACACTCAAAATGACCAAAGGACCTTAACAACTTCTAAAAATGTAGAGTTCATGTTTCATATTATTTTTTACTGACATATAATAATTGTACACATTTATTGAGTAAAATGTGATGTTTTGATACATGTTTATTTCGTGTAATGACTAATTCATAGGGTTACATTAAGCTACAAATACTATAAAATTGCATGGAGATGAATACACAAACACACACGTGCTCAGTGTTATGCGTAACTGGTGAAATCAGATTAGTTGTCAAGACTGTAACAATGTTATTTTTCCTGGTTTTGATTGTATTGTGGTGATAAAAGGTGTTGATATTAGGAGAGGTTCCGTGAAGGGTACATGCAAGCTTCCTGTTCATTTCTTTGAAACTTCCTATAAATTACAATTATTTCAAAAAATAAAGCGAACTATGAAAAGGAAATTCCCAGGTTACTTTTATGCAGCCTCTTCACTCTGCTCTGACTGACATCTGGGAATCCTTGCATAGAAAACTTTTGGGAAAATTCATATGACTGTTACATAAACACTTCTTCCATTGGTGGCAAGAACATTATAATACTATTATTAAAAATATCATTCTTAGTTGGAGTGTTTTTGAAAAGCACAGAATCTCTATCAGGCGTATGTTAGAAACATACCGCTTAATTTAAAATTAATCCTTCCATCTTTTTTTGTTCTACATTTGCCTGCCCAGACCTTTTATTATGGTGATAAAAGATAAAATGAATCTCTAACTCCCTACACTGGTACATAATATACCCAGGGTAAGTAATAGTTGTTAGTCATTTCATTACTGAGGAAGGTCACTGAATTTGCATGATTCTTCTTTTATTGTGAATGTATAATTCACATTTGATCCTGAAGTGATGTCTTTGGTTCTCTGGTTCATAATCCCAATTGTAGCTATTCATTAGCAGTGGGTAATAAGATGAACTAACAAGATGAACATAAGTGCACAATGTCATTTCTTAGTTATTAAAAACTGCAATACTGGGATTCATGGTGAGAAGAAGAATGTGTTGATACCATGAGATAAATCTCCTATTATACTCAGCATCTCAGCATGGTTAAAACCTTTCATGGGTACCACATTTAGTTTTGGCTCTGCAACTTAAAAGGGAACTTACAGAGGATTAAAAGAGAGTACCATAAATGATTAAAGGATTAAAAATATGACCTCTGAAAGAAGGTTAAAGGGACTGTAATTGTTTAGCCTGGAGACTAGAAAAGCAAGAGATAAGTTAGAATTATAGGCTAAGAATATAACAGACGGCAGACAATTATACAGAGAATGCTATATTGTATTCTCTAAGTCTTCTGACTATGCCTGAAACAACTGAACATAAATTGCAACATAAGGGAATTTGGTTATATTTTAATGAAATTTCAAAAAATTAGTTTTTTAGATATTTAAAGTTATTATCTATAGATGTTATAGCAATTCCGTAGATGCAATCAAAATGTATCTAATTGAATTGACCTACTTGAAATAATACTAGAGATGGAGTGAGTCCTCTGTCATAGAATCCCCTTAGCAAGAATTGCTCTAAATGAAGTCAATCATATTAAAAACAACAACAATCAAAGGCATTTATATAAATCATAAAAGCAGATGTGCTTTTGTGTAACAGTGGAAAAAAAATGCTTCCTGGCACTAAATGATGGTACAGAGAGTCAATCTTAAGTAAAATGATGCTCTCCACCTGCCAAGTTTGCTATCTTTCCTCACCTCTTGTATGGCATATTTTCCCTCTTTGTATTTTACAAGTTCAATGCATTCCTACTCTTCCCTCCTATTCTCCTATCCTCATAAATCATTCATTTCTGTATTTATTCTTCATATATTTACTAAGTTTCAAATATGCTACAGGAATGATGTTGGCTGATAATAATACAGTGGAAAAGAAATAAAAAGGAACAAATGTTGTCACTATAGAGTTAACAGCTTAGTAGGAATATAGAGAAGTAAACATGCATTGCAGTACAGGATGCTCACTTTGGTAGCGTGGCAATTATGATAACCTAACATTCCAGTAACCAAAGAAATGTAGATCCCACTTTGTGGGATGGCAGAGTAACTTAATTTTGCTTACTAACATTATCTAGCAGTTGCTTCTAATTTTGGTAGTTTCTGTTCAGATTACAGTAGTGATTTTAAGGTAGCTACTCAGTCTTTCTTAATATTAATATTTTCATCTTTTTCTTTCTCAGATGAAAAGTGCTCATTATATCTTCCTGACAAAGGGAGCGGAGTCCGGAATATTCACAATGAGTTTGTGCTACTCCTTGGGCCCCTGAGTGACTCTCAGATGAAGGTTTTCATTGGCCATCTGTTGCTCATGGGTCTCTGCCCTTGAAATCTGCAGCTGTTGAACACATGGACTACACTCTTTTATCTTGATCTGAGCCTGGAGTCCTCCTGGATGGCTCTATCCTATTTCGTTTTTCATGTATTCCCCTGATACCTGGCTGTGATTCCCATTTGATTTCTCATCTGGCTGAGGTCACACTAGGCTGCACTCATAGTCCCATTTAGTCCATTCCAAGACAAACTTCTGAAACACTGACAAGCCAGCATCATCAGCTACATTTTTATCTTGCCAAGGGTTATTCACAATCTTAACAGCTGGCTCCTTATGCTGATAAATCAACAGCCAAAAAAGTGGCTTGCTGTATTTGCTGATTTGAATGATTTTGATGACCAGGGGAAAATCAGATTGCTACTCCACAGTGGGGGTGAGGAGTATCTCAGAAGTGCAAAAGATCCCCTGGGGCATCCCTTAGTACTGTTCCTGTGCTATAATTAAAAAGGTAAAATTACAAGTCAATACAGGCAAATCTGCTAGTGACCCACGCACTTTAAGAATAAAGTTTGGAATGAGCTTACCCCATGAAAAAAATAAACAATTGAAGATACCCACTGAAAATAAAAGAATATAAACTTCAAGAAAGCAGTTTTAAATACTAGTTGCAACCATGTGACTACTTGATATACACAGTTCTTCCTAGTTTTGATATAAATACATCCGTAACATTTCTTTTCTTTTTCATTCCTATATATATATATTTGTATGTATTAATCAGGGTTTTCCAGAGGGACAGAACTAATGGGATATATGTATATATGAAAGAGAGTTTATTAAAGAGAATTGACTCACATGATCACAATGTAAAGTCCCACGATAGGCCATCTGCAAGCTGAGGAGCAAGGAAGGCAGAGTGGGTCAGTCGAAGTCCCAAAGCCACAAACGTAGGGAAGCCAACACTGCAGCCTTCAGTCTGTGGCCGAAGGCCCAAGAGCCCCTCCCAAACCGCCGGTGTAAGTCCAAGGGTCTAAAGGCTGAAAAACCTGCAGTCTGATGTTCAAGGGCAGGAAGCATCCAACACAGGAGAAAGATGAAGGCTGGAAGGCTCAGCAAGCCAGCTTCTTCCACCTTGTTCACCTGCTTTTTCTAGCCACTCTGGCAGCGGATTGGATGGTGCCCACCCACATTGAGGGTGGGTCTTCCTCTCCCAGTCCACTGATCCAAATTTCAATATCCTTTGGCAACACCCTCACAGATAGACCCAGAAACAATCCTTTGCGTCCTTCAATCCAAGTTCACACTTAATATTAACCATCACAATATAGCATTAAAATTATAATATATTTAGATGGTAATGTAATTTCTTATATATTATATATTGTTTATATATACAATAAAGGCTTTGTTATAGAAATTTGAACTTATCCAATTATAAGAGCTAATTAAGCAGTCTACTTTCTACCACTAACATAAGGCTGCTAGTAGTTCTACTTGCTGATGATCAAATCCTGACTGATATATGTGAATATTAATGTGATAGTAATAAGTAACATGTGGATAATAAGAGTAATAGGATAGTTGTTAAAATTACATATATTAATAACTTACTCATAGAATTAATGTAGCAATTAGGTAATTATGTTAAACAGTCCTTAGAACACTCCTGGCCTAATAAACACTGTTTATAGTATGATATTATTACAATTATTAATAGTATTATCCCAATTTTAATAAGCATTCTTATTCTTTCTTAAAAGTCTAACGATTTTTGTATTTATCTCTCAGTTGTATATTGTTTTAGTTTATCTGCTTTTGAAATTACATAAATTGAATTGTACTGCATGTATTTGTTTCTGATTTACTTACGTTCTGCAATAACATGTTGTCACTGCTACACTGTCCTCCCTTTCCTAAACACATATTTATTTATGTGAAAATATTACAATTAGCATCATGTATTAATATATAACATAACAAAATATTTAAACATATATTATACTTTACAGGCTTCATAGAAATTATCTAAAATTAAAAAATATTTATACGTGTATATAAAATTCAAAAGAAATATGTGCAGTAGGTGGTCACATGGTTACAACTAATGTTTATAACTACTTCCTTTTACTCGTTCTGGATTCTTCTTATGCTCAGCAATCATCTTGGCTTGGTTGATGCCTTCTGGGGTGAGCTGACCAAAACTTCATCCCTGAAGTATGTGGGTCACTCTCAGATCTGCTTACATTAGCTTGCTGTTATTTTACTTTGTTAATCCCAGGGCAGGGCAGGACGGCACTAAGAATTGCCCCAGGGGCCAGGAGCGGTGGCTCACGCCTGTAATCCCAGCACTTTGGGAGGCCGAGGAGGGTGGATCACGAGGTCAGGAGATCGAGACAATCTTGGCTAACTGGGTGAAACCCCGTCTCTACTAAAAATACAAAATTTAGCTGGGCGTGGTGGCGGGTGCCTGTAGTCCCAGCTACTCGGGCGGCTGAGGCAGGAGAATGGCGTGAACCTGGGAGGCGGAGCTTGCAGTGAGCCTGGGCGACAGAGCAAGACTCCACCTCAAAAAAAAAAAAAAAAAGAAAAGAAAAAGAAAAAGAATTGCCCCAGGATATCTTGGGCATTCTAGAGAAACTCCTCACTTCCATTGCTTAGTAACAATCCAATTTTGTCTTGATCATCAATTTTCTACTGAAAATACCAGGTTATTTTTAGTTTTTCTATATTACGGAAAATGTTGTTAAAAATTTATCAGTTATCTATTACAGGGTAACAAATTACCCCATAACTTGGTAGTTAAAACAATAATCATTTATTTACTCATGATTCTTTAGGTTAGAAATTTAGGCTGGGTTTAGCCAGAACGATTAACTTTCTCTTTGTATAATGTTTGCTAGGAGCAAACGAATGTCTGGGGACTCAGCTAGGATGACCGAGATGGCTGGACCTTTTCCTCCCTAAGGTCTTGCAAGGTGGAATTTCAGGCTTGTTCCTGTGAGGGCGAGAGCTGTAAGGTTTCTCAAGCCTGAGCCTTGGATCAGAGACAGAATAATGTCCACTGCATTTTATTAGTCAAGCAAGTCACACATCCTGCTTAGATTTAAATTCTAGGAAAATAGACTCCACATTTTGATGGGAGGAGTTACAAGTAATTTTAAGTCACAACGTATTCTCAGTGCTTCTTACATTAAAATAGCTCTACTTTCATGCCAAGATTACCAAAAGTTTTCTCCAGTTATAATATTTGGCTTAAAATCTATTCTGTCTTCATCTGCATTTGGTCTAGATGTGGGTAAGACACTTGGGATGCAGTTTCTCCTCTTCAAAAGACCTGCGACTGAAAAAAATAAAGTATAATTCTCCCTCAAACTTATTACACAGTCAAGACACCATGCAAGACAACAGCAATACATCCTGCCAATCGAAAAGGGAAATAATAAACTATATCTAGAAGTCACTGATTCATAGCAATTTTTAAATCCCTTCAAGCACAATTGACAACTCCTCCCTGATTCTGGGGGCTTAAAAGAGTTTTTGACTAGCACCTCTTTCTGCAATCTGAGAGTGGTTTTCTAATTATTTTTTTTTTCCTCTACTTCTGAGACCCGTCATCTGGGTTCTTGGGTCTAGCTCTGAGGTATTGATCTTTTACATAAGAAATGGTTTCTGTTTTCATCAGTGTAGCATTTTTATCTTGCTTCTTTTCTAAAAAAGTAAATTTTCCAGAGGCTTGTTTTTGTGTTTTTACAGTTTTTGTGCGCTTTTTCGTTTTTATTCCCTTTTGTGGTTCTACAGTTTCTATTCTCTTTAGGGTAGGTGGTGCTTTTGTTGGTACAACTCCCTTAAAGTTAGTATGGGTTTCCCCTGCATCTTTAGTCTACAGCATTTTACAAAAATGAAATCAACACTTTTTTTAAAAAACAAGCTTTATTCTGTTTAGATCCATGTGTCAGTCTATTCTGGAATGGTGTGCTTAAGATTCTTAGAAGTGTTTTCTTATATCGTTTTTTAATATAATGATTACTTGGGCAAGTGATTCAAAAATTCCAAATATGTGTATTTTCTATTAAACATTTTCATAATAATTGATTTGATTATCTGTTAATTATCTGTTATAGGTTTAAGGACTGTGTGCTCTATTATTTTTGGTTGTAGCATGCTATATTTGTTTATTAGGTGATGTATATTAATCATATTATTCAAATATTCTGTAATATCAAGAGGTAAAATTCTGACGATATATTTTGATATGATTGTCAGCTTGTTTATTTCCTGCATTAGTTCTGTAAATAAAGTTTTATGTTCTAAGGCTATTTTAAATATTACTTAAATCAAAACTTCTTTTTTAGTTATTGGACTCCCTTTGACCTATTTTTTTCTTAGCTAGAAGTGAAACTCCTCTACTAATATTTTTTTAAGCACATAGTCATCCTGCCAAAGACACTTTCAGTCTAGAATGATAAATCCTGTGACCACGCTAGTCTTCAAATAAACCTTGGCTTTCAGTATTATATAAACAAGAAGTGGGCTGAGAATGTCATGTTGTTTCCAGGGAGAAAGAATATTACCTAATAATGAGTTTAGCTACAACAAAGGAAAATGAAACTCTTTTGGAGAAGAGGTAAGCAAACTTCTTTTATAAAGGGCCCAGTAGTATTTTAGGCTTTACGAGCCCCACAGTCTCCATTGCAGCTACTCAATTCTCACACAAAAATAGCTGTAAAAATATTTAAATCAATATTTGTGGCTATGCTCCAATAAATTTACAAACACATTTGGCTAAAGTTCAGATTTGACCCTAATACTCTGGTTTGTAACTTCTGCTCTAAGAGTTGAGCCAAGAGTCATTGAAAAAAAATTGTACAAGGGTTACTTCCCAAACAATACAAGTAGAATTTACTAAGGATTCAGGATAGCAGGTTGACATATAATTTAAAAATATATTCTCTCAGCCTGTTGATAAAGTAATTTCACATTGATAGTTATTGAGGGCATTTTTTTGTAAATATAAAATTTTTATCTTTATTTGGTGATTCTGTTGAGACCTATAACACATTTTATGTTTTCTATTATGCCTATGTGCTGATGTATGTTTAATTTAATTTAATTTAATTTTTATTTATTTATTTTTTGTGGGGGTGGAGTCTCACTCTGTCACCCATGCTGGAGCTCAATGGTGCAATTTCGGCTCACAGCAACCTCCGCCTTTCAAGTTCAAATTATTCTCCTGCCTCAGCCTCCCAAGTAGCTGGGATTACAGGCACATGCCACCACACCCAGCTAATTTTGTAATTTTAGTAGAGATGAGGTTTCACCATGTTAGCCAGGATGATTTCGAACTCCCGACCTCAGATGATTCACTTGCCTTTGCCTCCCAAAGTGCTGGGATTACAGGCATGAGCCTCTGCGCCCAGATGGTTGTCTGTTTAATTTAATCTAATTGAGATTTGTTGCTTTTCTTGAATTTCTGGGTTGTCATCCTTTGTAATTCTAAAGAACTGTCACAACAATATTTTCCTCTGAACAATTCTCTCATTCCTCTTTTACAATAATCATGAAGAGACTGAAGATTTTCTCATATATTACTTCATATCACTTAAACTATCTTTCAGACATTAAGTCTTTTTTTTTTGCCTCCGTAGGCCATGCTGTGGAAAATCACTTCTAATATTTATTAATCTTTAATCTTATCCATATATTTTTAATTTGAATTACTATGAACTCAATGATTGCAATGTCTATTACTGTTTCTAAACTATCTACCTGGTTATTTTAAACAAATTCTTGTAATATAAAGATAGACTATATTTAGAGCAGTTTTAGGTTCACACCAAAATTGAGAAGTACAGAGATTTCACATATACCAACAATCTATACACAAGCATAGCCTCTCCCATTATCAACATTCCCCCACAGAGTGATACATTTGTTATAACTGATGAACTTACACTGACATGTCTTTGTCACTAAAAGTCCATAATTTACATTAAAGTTCATTCTCAGTGTTGTACATTGTATAGATTCAAATAAATATGTAATGACATATATATTTTATGTATATTATATATTATATATATTTATATATATATATATATATACACCATTAGAGGATTATACAGATTAGTGTAACTACATTAAACCTCCTCAATGCTCCACCTATTTATTCTTCCCTCCCTCCTCCCCCGAACAGCCACTTACCTCGTTACTATCTTCACAGTTTTGCCTTTTCCAGAATGTCATATAGTTGAAGCCAAACAGCATATAGCATTTTCAGACTGCCTTTTTTCATTTAGTAATATGCAATTAAGTTTCATCTATGTTTTTTATTTTTTCATAGATTGATAGTTAATTGGTTTCAGTCTTAAATAATTTTTTATTATTTAGTTGTATCACAGATTATTTGTCAATTTACCTACTGTTGCTTCCAACCTTTGGTAATTATGTGTAAAACTGCTATCATCATCTTTGTGTAGAGTTTTTTGTGAACATATGTTTTTAACTTTTATGGGTGAATACCAAGAGGCACAGTTGCTAGATGATGTAATAATGTCATATTTTCTTTTGAAAAAAAAAAAAAACCCTGCCAAACTATCTTCCAAACTGGCTGTACCTTTCTATATTCTCACCAATAATGAATGAGAATTTCTCTCACTAGCATTTGATGTTATCAATGTTATGGATTCTGGCCATTCTAAGATGTGTGTAGTGTTACCTCATTTTAATTTGCATTTCCCTGATTATATATGATGTGGAGCATCTTCTCATAGGGTATTTGACATCTGTATACCTTCTTTGGTGAAGTGTTTCCTAAATTCTTTGGCCCATTTTTAATTAGGGTGTTTGTTTTCTTATAGTTGAGTTTTAAGAAGTCATTGTATATTTTGGATAACACTTGTTTATCAGATATGTCTTTTGCCAATACTTTCTTCTAGTTCAAAGCCTGTCTTTGCATTCTGTTGACATTATCTTTCACAGAGCAGACATTTTTAACTTTAATTAAGATCAGTTTATTAATTTGTTCTTTTTAAAATTTTGCCTTTGGTGTTGTATCTAAAATGTCAGTATCAAACCAAAAATCATGTATGTTTTCTGCTGTGTTATCTTCTAGGTGTTTTATAGTTTTGCATTTTACATTTAAGTCTGTGATCCATTTTAAATAAGATTTTGTAAAGGGTACATATCATCCATATCTAGATTCTTCTTTTTGTTGGCTTATGGATGTCTAGTTGTTCTAGCATCATTTGTTGAAAAGACTGTATTTGTTTCATTGAATTGCCATTGCTCCTTTATCAAGATCAATTGAGCATATTCACGTGGTTATTTGGGTTTTTTATCTTTCCATATAAACTTTAGAATTATTGGTGGCTTGTATGTCTTCTTTTGAGAAGTGTCTGTGTATGCACTTTGTACATTTTTATTTTTTTTATTTTGGCTTGTTAATTTGCTTAACTGAACAAAATTAACATGCAAAAGCCCATCAATAAGATAAATGAAACCAGGAGACAACTCTTTAAAAGAATAAGCAAGGTTGGTTGACTGCTAACTGGATAAATAAAAGAGAGAAGAGCCAAATAAGTGCAATCAGAAATGACAAAGATGATAGTGCAATGATCCCACAGAAATAAAATATCCTCAGAGACTATTATGAACACTTCTATGGACACAAATTAGAAAATCTGGAGGAAGTGGGTAAATTCCTAAAAACACACAACCTCCCAAGACTGAACCATAAGGAAACTAAAAACATCAACATACCAGTAACAAATTCAGAAATTAAATCAGTAATAAGAAAGCCTTACCAACCAAATAAAGCCCTGGACTAGATGGCTTCCCAGCCAAATTCTAGAGGCATACAGTGAAGAACTGATATGAACCTTACCACAACCACTCCAAAAAAATTAAAAAAAAAAAAGAAAGAAAGAAAAGGGGATTCCCTCTAACTCATTTTGTGAATCTAGTATCTTCCTGATACCAAAATCTGGCAGAGGCTCAATGAAAAAAGAAAATTTTCAGATTAATACCCCTGGTGAACATGGATACAAAATTTCTCAGCAAAATACTAGAACACCAAATCCAGCAGCACCTCAAAACTTAATTCACCATCAAGTAGGCTTTATTCTTGGGATGCAAGTTTGGTTCAACATATGCAAATCAATAAGTGGGATTCACCACAAACAGAATAAAAAAGAAAAAACAATGATTATCTCAAGAGACAAACAAAAAACCTTAGAGAAAATTCAACGTTCCTTCAAGATTAAAACCTTTAGCTGACTAGACATTGAGAGAATATATCTCAAAATGATAAGAGCCTTTTAGGACAAGCCCATAGCCAACATCCTGCTGAACAGGCAAAAGCTAGAGCCATTAGACAACTGGAACAAGACAAGGATGCTCTTTCTTACTATTACTATTAAAAATAGTACTGGAAGTCCCAGACAGAACAGTCAGTCAAGACAAAGAAATAAAAGGCATTCAAACAGAAAAATAAGAATTTAAACTATCTTTCTTTGCTGATGATACGATTCTATATGCACAAAACCCTAAAGACTCCACCAAAAGGATCCTAGAACTGATAAATGAGTTTAGTAAAGTTTAAGGATATGAAATCAATATTACACAAAAATTGGTAGCATTTCTAAACACAAAAATAATGTTCTAGCTAACAAACAAATCAAGAACAATATCCCATTTACAATAACCACACACACAAATGAAATACCTAGGAATTCATCTCACCATGAAGAGAATTATAAAACATTGCTGAAAGTAATCAGAAAAGACACAAATAAATGGAAAAATATTCCATGCTCATAGGTTGGAAGAATCAATATTGTTAAAATGGCCACACGGCCCTAAGCAGGAACAACAAAGCTGGAGGCATCACGTGATCCAACTTCAACCTATAATATAAAGCTACAGAAACTATAGCAGCATGGTCCTTGCACAAAAACAGACATATAGGCCAATGGGATAGAATAGAGAAAGAGAAACTCACACACTTACAACCATCTGTCCTTCAATAAAATTAACAAAAATAAGCAGTAATGAGAGGACATTTTATTTAATAAATGGTACTGAGATGACTGACTAGCCATATGCAGAGAATGAAACTGGACCCCTGTCTGTCACCACACACAAGAATTCAAAGAGCTAAAAATAGAACTACCAGTTGATCCAGCAATCTTGCTATTTGGTATCTACCCAAAGAAAAAGAAACCATTGTATCTAAAAGGCACCTGCATTCATATGTTTATCACAGCAGCATTCACAAGAGCAGTCATATATGATATCATATTTTCTTTATCCCATCTTTATCCCAAGATGTATTAAAAACTTTAATACCATACCTCAAACTACAAAAATCCTAGAAGAAAAACCTAGGAAATACCTTCTCAACAACAGCTTTGAGAAACAATTTATGGCTATGTTCCCCAAAACAATCACAACCAACACAAAATTGACAAATGGGACCTAATTAAACCAAAGAGCTTCTACAAATCAAATGAAATTACCAACAGAATAAACAGCCTAATAACTTCTGTCTCTGAAGACTCCTATGTCTAAAATTAATATAGCTACTCTTGCTTTCTTTTGATTAGTGTAAGCATGCTATATCTTTCTCCATCAGTTTAGTTCTTAAAAATATTTTACAGATTTACGTGATACAAATACAGTTGTATTACACAGATATATTGCATAGTGTTGAATTCTGGGCCCTCAGTGTAGTGAGCACCCAAATAGTGTACATTGTAAAAAAAAGGTAGTATTGTATTCTTCACCTTCTATCACCCCTCTATCTTTTGTAATCTACAACATCTATTATTCCACTTTTTATCAGTGTGTATTCATTTCTTAGCTCCCACTTATAATTGAGGACATGTAGTTTCTAATTTTCTGTTTCCGAGTCATTTCACTTAGAATAATGGTCTCCAGTTTCATCATGTTGCTACAAAAGACATGACTTTATTTTATTATGTGCTTGAGTAATATTCCATGTGTATATATATATAATACCTATGTATATGTGTGTGTATATATATATGTATATATACATGTATACGCATATGCAAATGTCTATCAGTGGAAGAGGGGATAAAGAAAAGATGATATCATATTTTTAGTAACAGTCATTCTGACTGGTGTAACATGTATCTAATTGTGTTTTAATGTGCATTTATCTGATGATTAGTGATGTTGAGCATTTTCTCATGTGTTCTTTGTCTGCTTATATGTATTCTTTTGAGAAATGTCTGTTCATGTTTTTAGTCTCCCTTCTAAATTTTTTTTTCTTGTTGAGTTCTTTGAGTTTCTTGTGGATTCTGAATATTAGCTCCTTGTTACATGCATAATTTGTGAATATTTTCTCCCATACTGTAGGTTCTCATATTACTCTATTAATCATTTATTTTGTTGTGAAGAAACTTTTTAGTTTAATTAAGTTCAATTTGTCTATTTTTGTTTCTATCATGTTTACTTTGGAAGACATAGTCATAAATTCTTGGCCTAGACCAATGTCCAGAATAGTTTTTCCAAGTTTTGATTTATAATTTTATAGTTTTAGGTCTTACATTTCAGTACTGTATTCCTCTTGTGTTAGTTTTTGTATATCATGAGAAAGATGAGTATAGGTTTATTTTTCTGCATAGGGCTATCCATTTTTTCCAGCACCATTTATTGAATAGGTTTTCCTCTCCCTGGTGTGTGTGTGTGTGTGTGTGTGTGTGTGTATTTTTTTTTTTTTTTTTGAGATGGAGTCTCACTCTGTTGCCCAGGCTGGAGCACAGTGGCGCAATCTCAGCTCACTGCAACCTCCACCTCCCAGGTACATGAGATTCTCCTATCTCAGCCTCCCAAGGAGCTGCGATTACAGGTGCCTGCCACCACGCCCGGCTAATTTTTTGTATTTTTAGTAGAGACAGGATTTCACTGTATTAGCCAGGATGATCTCAAAGTCCTGACCTTGTGATCCTCCAGTCTCGGTCTCCCAAAGTGCCGGGATTATAGGCGTGAACCACGGCTCCTGGCCTCCCTTGTGTATATTTTTGTCAGCTTGGTCAAAGTTTGGTTGCTTTTAGGTGTGTGGCTTTATTTTGGGGTCCTCCATTCTGTTCCACTGATATATGTATGTTTTTATACCAGCACCATGCTGTGTGGTTATTAGAGCCTTGTTGTATGTTTTGTTGTCAGGTAATGTGATACCTCCAGCTTTATTCTTTTTGCTTAGGATTGCTTTGGCTATTCAGGATATTCTGTGGCTCCATATGAATTTTAGGATTGTTTTTTTCTAATTTTGTAAAAATGACCTTGGTAATTTATAGGAATTTCATTGATTTTGTTGATTCTTTTGGGCAGTATGGTCATTTGAATTACACTGATTCTTTTGATCCATGAGCATGGGATGTTTTATCTCTGTGTTTGTGCCTTTTCTCAGTGTTTTGTAGTTCTTGTAGAGACATTTTATCTCCTTGATTGAAGTGTATTCCTAGGTATTTTATGTTTGTTTTTGTAGGTATTGAAATAGGATTGAGTTCTTAATTTGGTTCTCAGTTTTATAGTTATTGATGTATTAAAATTCTATCAATTTGTAGCTGGATTTTGTATTCTGAAACTTTACTGAGGTCATTTATCAAACCTAGGAATCTTTCAGAGGAGTCTTTAGAGTTTTCTGATATAAAATTATATCATTAGTGAACAGATAATAGGATTTTCTCTTTTCCAATTTAGATAGTTTTTATAATCTACACTTGTCTTTATAGTTAAAGTAGGTTCCTTGTTGACAACATACAGTTGGGTCTTGTTATTTGACCCACTCTGATATTGTCTTTTAATAGCTGCCTTTAAACTATTGATGTTCATGGTTCACACCTGAAATCTTAGTTAGGTGTGTTGGCATGCACTTGAGTCCTCGCTACTCAGGATGCTGAGGCAGAAGGCTCACTTAAGCTCAGGAGTTCAAGGCTGCAGTGAGCTATGAGTGTGCCACTGCACTTCAGCCTGGGAAACAGAGTGATATACTTTTCTTAAATTTAAAAAAAAAAAAAAAAAAACTATTGATGTTCAAAGTGAGTACTGATACAGTCAGATTAATATCTAACATATTTGCTCATATTTTCTATTTATTGCCTTAGTTTTTGTTTCTATTTTTGTTTTATACTCTTTTCTTCCTTTTGTGTTATTAACTGAGCATTTTATATGGTTTTCTTTTCTTTTTTAGTATATGAGTTTTGTATTTTTTTCTTTGTTTAACCTTTTTTTAGCTCCCACTGATTCATTTTTCAGTTGTGTTTCTGTAGTTTGAAAATGATAAATGCCTAGATATTTGTCTTACTTGAAGTTCTCTAACCTTCCTGGTTCTGTAGTTTTGTATCTGACATTAACTTGTAAAAATTCTCAATTAGTGTTTCAAATATTTCTTCAATTTCTTTCTCCTTATAATGTTCTCATTACACATACATAATATCTTTTGTAGTTGCCTCAAAGTCCTTGAATATTCTTATATTATTTTCCTCTTTTTAGTATTTTTTTCTGTTCGCTTTTTAGTTTTAGAGGTTTCTATTTGATATCCACAAGCTCACAGATTTTTTCCTCTGCTGTGCCATGTCTGCTAATAAGCCCAGTGAAGATATTCCTATTACAGTGCTTTTGATCTCTAGCATTTATTTTTGGTTCTTAGAATTTTTCTTTCTCTGCTTACATTGCCCATATGTTCTTGAATGCTGTCTAGTTTATCTGTTGGAATCATTAGCATATTAATCATAATTGTTTTGAATTCCCAATCTAAGTTGAACATCCCTGCCATGTCTGATTCTATTGCTTGGTCTGTGTCCTCAAATTGTGTTTTTATGCCTTTCAGTATGTCTTGTAATTTTTTTCCTAAATTACAAAAAAAAAAAAAACTGGACATGATCTTCCAGGAATAAAAAACTGCTGTAAATAGACCTTGAACAATGTGGCACTTCTAGTCCGACTCCTTCCTTAGATAGGACAGAATAGCTAAAGTGGGCTGGAGTTGGGTATTATCTTTTCCCATGTCAATTAGGCTCTGGTAAAACTCCAGTAGCTTGGATTCTGGTTAAATAGTTTCTCCTGAAGGAATACTTGATTAAAAAGGATACATTTCTCTGCTATATTTCAAAATGGTTCTTTTATCCTCTTCCTGCTAGAAGCATTGAAGTTTTTCTCTGATACTCACTGTGAGAATCAAATAAAATTCCAGGAGGTAAAACTCAGGAAAGTATGACCCCTAACATGACTGGGTCCTTCTGGAGATTTTATTTCTCATACTTGTCCACAGGGAGCCTCCAGCAAGTCATCAATTACAGTTCAGATTTCCCTACCCAGACACTGGTTCCTGCAGAAGTTTTAACTTGTGCGCTTCTGTTCCAGGAAGTTGTGATTCTTATTATTCTCCTGCTGATCTCTCTAATTTGGGGAGCAGAGGTATGTTCCATTATTCCACTTTTCTTATAGATCTAATATTTGTTATTTGTTTTTTAGTTTGTTCAGGTTTTTACCTGCTATTAGGATACTTTTGACTCCCAAGCTTCTTAAATGTCAGATGCAAAAATGGCTTCTTAGTAATTTTTCATACTTTTATGTTCCCTGCAAATATATTCAAATATTTCTTTTTTTATTTGAATTTATTAAACAGATTTGTTTTCTAAAATTATGTTTGATAGTTCCAATATTTGAAATAATTTTTGACTTTGTCCACTGTCTATTATTTACATTGTTTCTCACTTAATAGTGGCTAATTTATTTGTGTCATTTTTGCCTGTGGGCTATTTGATTTTAATATAAATTTATCTGTGGTCACTTTTTTTGGTATTTCTTGATTTAAGTTTCTCCAGACAGGATTTTCATTTGCTTCTGTTTCCTGCCTGGAGCCACTAATAGCCAGGATGACTTTAAATTTAATTCCTGCTTTGATGTTTGATGTTTTTCAGAGAACACAGGTAGCATGTTGGGATAAAAATTAAAAAAAAGCAATGTTAGAGCCACTTTAGGATTTTAAAGTTGCAAAAGAAATTTTTATTTACTTTGCCAAAGTTGACGTAGTTGAGATTCATTTCTGTGTCCACGTCAATGCTTCTTATTTCTTGTTGAGTCCTACCCTGAAGTTGTAAGATTCTAAGTTTGGATTACTAAGTCTCATAAAGGGGTTCTTTAGGTTTTCCACCTTGTCTGGGATGTTCAACTGCCAATTCAGAAGCTTATGATCACAGAGTACAGAAAAAAAATAGGTAAAGCCATCTTTAAAACTTACTTTTTAATAAAAAAACAAGATTCTTATTCTCAATTAACTTCTGGGTTTCTTTCAATGCACTTCATCAGAGTGTTTACCAAGTACCTAGGTACGTTTGTGCCTATCATTTTAGTTGTTTTATTTGAGAGAACTATTGAGAATTATATTATGCTATACTGTAAGAAGTATGTTTATTTCAAACATTTTCCCAATTTGTAAAGTGTTTTAGCTGTTTGCTTTGTGTTTGCTTCATGCATAACACATCGGAAAAGCAAGCATGTCTCTCTTACTTACCAATACATCTCAGCAGCTAGCAAAGAACCTACTACATAGCAGCTATATGCTAATTACTTATAGAATGGAGGAAGTTGGATAGAAGAAACTTTTTTCAGTTTCACCAGATTCTTTCAGACCCAAAAGGCAGCTGTCCCTGCACAAGTCTCTATGCCTATGTCTTCACTTCTCCCACAGCTGCTCTCTTGCCATAAAACGAATAGGCTTTCTTT
Organism: Homo sapiens; assembly: GCF_000001405.40. Classification (NCBI taxonomy): domain Eukaryota; kingdom Metazoa; phylum Chordata; class Mammalia; order Primates; family Hominidae; genus Homo; species Homo sapiens. Next base: position 83,863,485 of record NC_000003.12, on the reverse strand, counting down.
ACAGACTTATAAATGTGATAACATGTGTGCTACAAACAGAACAGTGCATGGTACATAACTGAAAGTTATGTTATTCATAATCTGCTCTGTCCTAAGCCACATTCCACACTATCCCAGTTCTGTCTCACAATATAAGATACACATTTATCTTTTCTTGTGTTTTTTGATTTATTCTTGGGTTGCTTTTAATGATTCATTTGCATTATCAACCATAAAACACCTCTCATATATCAGGCAGTAAAATTGTACCTAAGAAACTTTGTTTTCACCTGTGGTATGTAATTTCTAAAGAAAGATATGTAATTGAAAATCATTCCCTAATAAAGGTTATTATGATTTATCAATACTTTTTTCAGATCTTTGGTATTATATAATAGGAGGCACTCAAGAACATATGAAGGATATTAAAATAATATATTATGTTTACTGTATATTGACTTTTTAATAAAATATTTTAAAAGTGAATTTCTATTTTGTTAAACACTGATTTCTACTATCCTTATGTTATTGAAATATGTTTAGTTCTTATTTTGGAAAATGTGCCAATAATTGAGATTTGTAAACATTTATGTTCAAAGATTTTCATTTAATAAGCAGTATTGTAGTGATGTTGACCTTTAATTCTACTTGTTCTCATTTTAAATACTTTTTGTAATCTCTGTTATCTAGGAACTTTTCACCCAGGTTCACTGAGCCCATATAGCATTTGCCCTTTTTGGGATGCTTCTTCCATTGATTATAAATATATCAATATCAAGTATAATTGTTAATTTGCTTGAAAAAAATTAAGCCACTGAAAATTAAATTGCATTAATAAAGTTATAGATGCACTGCTGTTACACTGAACCAACAAATGCAATTTCAGATTTTACTTGTTTCTATGATACTGTTTCCTTGACTTCAAATGTATTCAGAAAAGAAAATATATGTCAAAAGAAAATGACAGAAAAAAAAGGTGAGGCACTTCTTAACAGAATGTATCAGAAAATGTGTAATCCTAGGCCAGTGCATATATGGGGTAAAATCTTAAAGCAATGAATGGAGTTTCCATTCAATATACCTAGAAATCTGTGTGTATAGTAGAGTAAGTAAGCTTTGTTGGGAGAATAGGACAAAATAAAATCTTCAGCAAAATGGGTTATAAGCAACCTGTTCTAAGTAAAAGGAAGGTATAACCCGTATTGCCTTGCAAATGTACACATTGGCCTAGTTTACACCAGTTGGATCTGAGTGAGTGGGAAATGCAGAGATGAAGAATAATGACATTCTGTTGCACTTTCAAGAATAATGACTATTTTTAAAAAAAAGGTAGTCTGAGAGAGATATGAAGTTCAGGAATTATTTTAAGATAGGACAAAAAATATTACGTAATTAAATGCTGAAAAATATTGACAGGAAGAAATTAGATTAAAAATAGCTAATCAAGCATTAACTTTTTTTTCTTGATACACAGTATCTCTCTGTCACCCAGGCTGGAGTGCAGTGACACAATCTTGGTTCACTGCAACCTCTGCTTCCCAGGTTTAGGTGATTCTCCTGGCCCAGCCTCCGAGTAGCTGGGACTACAGGTATGTACCAACATGCCTGGCTAATTTTTGTGTTTTTAGTCGAGATGGAGTTTTGACATGTTGGCCAGGTTGGTCTTGAACTCCTGGCCTCAAGTGATTCACCGCCCTAGCCTCTCAAAGTGCTGAGATTACAGGAATGAGCCACTGTATTCAGCCAACATTACCATTTTTAAGAAAGTGGGAATTTTGGGATCCAAAGCATAGATGGAAATATTGACCTTTGATAAGAAGTACTTCCTCTATTAAAATAGAGGTTAGGGGAAAATGAATGAATAAAATTGGGTCCTGTTCAATGTTTTATATTTAAGATGTAATTTAGGTGGTAAACTCATTTACTAAAAACTGGAAAGGTAGTGGTATTGAATTAGCTGTGAATGAGAGTTTTTTCTAACTGTTGCTAGCAATTTATCTTTCAAGTTATAAGAACTTTATACAGGAAAACTGTGCATTGCATTGAAAAAGGATCCACCAGGATAGACACAGTATGTCAAAAGAGCAGATGAAGGATGCTTAATGAAGAGGCTATTTTCAAATGTATGGCCAAGTGAAAGAGAAGCTGATAAGGGATGGTGGAACACCATGGGAATACCCTTAAACCTGGAGAAGCAAATGTAGCTAATACGGTTTGGCTCTGTATCCCCATCCAAATCTCATGCTGAATTCTAATCTTCAGTTGTTAGAGGAAGGGCCCGGAAGGAGGTTATTGAATCCTGGTGGCAAACTTCCCCCTTGCTGCTCTTGTGATAGAGTTCTCATGAGATGTGGTTGTTTCAAAGTGAGCAGCAACCCCCACCCCCCACCCTTCACTCTCTTCCTCCTGCTTCCACCATATAAGATGTGTTTACTTCCTCTTTACCTTCCACCATGATTATAAGTTTCCTGAGGCCACCCCAGCTATGCCTCCTGCACAGCCTGTGGAACTGTGAGTCCATTAAACCTCTTTTCTTTATAAGTTACCCAGTCTCAGGTGTGTATTTATAGCAGTATGAGAACAGGCTAATACAGAAAATTGGTACTGAGCAGTGGGGCATTGCTATAAAGATACCTAAAAATGTGGAAGCAGCTTGGGAACTGGGTAATGAGCAGAGGTTGGAACAGTTTGGACAGATCGGAAGAAGACACGAAGTTGAGGGGAGGTTGGAACTTCTTAGAGATTGTTAAATTGTTGAGACTGAAATGCTGATAGTGATATGGACAGTGAAGTCCAGTCTAAGGAGGCCTCCTTATGGACATAAGGAACTTATTGGGAACTGGAATAAAGGTCACTCTTGCTATGCATTAGCAAAGACTGGAAGCATTGTGCCTCTGCTCAAGAGATCTGAGGTACTTTGAACTTGAGAAAGGTGATTTACAGAATCTGGCAGAAGAAATTTTTAAGCAGCAAAGCATTCACAATGTGGCCTGACTGCTTCTAAAAGCCTAAATCATTTTCATAAAAAAAGAAATGATCTGAAACTATAACTTATATTTAAAAAGAAAGCAGAGCATAAAAGTTTGGAAAATTTGCTGACTGGCCATGTGGTAGAAAAGAAAAACCCATTTTGGGGGGAGAAATTCAAGTGTACTGCAGAAATCTGCCTAAGTAAAGAGGAGCCAAATGTTAATAACCAAGACAATGGGGAAAGTACCTCCAAGGCATTTCAGAGACCTTCATAGCAGTCCCTCCCATCACAGGCCTGGAAGCCTAGGAAGTAAGAATGGTTTTGAAGGCCAGATCCAAGACTCCACTGCTCTCTGCAGCCTCAGGACATGGTGCTCTGCATCCCAGACAGTCCAGCTCCAACCATGGCTAAAAGGGCCCTAAATACATCTCAGGTCACTGCTCCAGAGAGTGCAAGCCTGGAGCCACCAAGACTTCCTCGTGGTGTTAAGCCTGTGAGTGTGCAGAGGGAGAGAGCTGAGGCTTGGGAGCCTCCATTTAGATTTCAGAGGTTGTATGGAAATAACTGAATGTCTAGGCAGAAGTCCGCTGCAGAGGCAGAGCCTTGTGGAGAACCTCTCCTCAGGCGGTGGAGAGGGGAAATGTGGGGTTGGAGCCCACACACAAAATCCCTACTGGACTGCAGTCCTCCAGAGCCCAGAATGCTAGATTCACCAACAGCTTGCACCATGCACCTGGAAAAGACATGGGCACTCAACACCAGCCCACCAAAGCAGCTGTGGGGGCTGTACCCTGTAGAGCCACAGGGATGGAGCTGCCCAAGGCCTTGGAAGCCTACCCCTTGCATCAGTGTGACCTGGATGTGAGTCATGAAATCAAAGGATATTATTTCAGAGCTTTAAGATTTAATGACTGCCCTGATGGGTTTTGGATTTGCATGGGGCCTGTAGCCCCTTTATTTTGCCCAACTTCTCCCATTTGGAATGGGAACATTAAACCCATGCCTGTATTCCCACTGTATCTTGGAAGTAATTTGTTTTTCATTTTATGAGTTCACAGATGGAAGGAACTTGCGCTGTCTCAGATGAGACTTTGGACTTGGTATTTTGAGTTCATGCTAGAATAAGTTAAGACTTTGAGAGACTGTTGGGAAGGCGTCATTGGCTTTGAAATGTGAGAAGAAAGTGAGATTTGGGAGGGGCCAGGGGTGGAATTATATGGTTTGGCTCTGCGTCCTCACCCAAATCTCATGTCAAATTGTAATCTTCAGTGTTAGAGGAGGGAGCTGGTGGGAGCTGATTGAATTATGAGAACAGGCTTCCCCCTTGCTCTTATGTAAGAGTTCTCATGAGATCTGGTTGTTTCAAGGTGTGTATCACTTCCCCCTTCACTCTGTCTGCTCCTGTTCACACCATGTAAGATGTGTTTGCTTCCCCTTCACTTTCCGCCATGATTGTTTTCTGAGGCCACTGCAGCCATGCCTCCTGTACAGCCTGTGGAACTGTGAGTTAATTAAACTTCTTTTCTTTATAACTTACGCAGTCTCATGGATGTCTTTATGGCAGTGTGAGAATGGACTAATACAATAGCTCACCCTGAGAATGTTTTTTAACATATTGAGTTTAAGATGCTCATTGATTCATTCATCCAAATGGAGATGGGAAAAAAGTGTTTTTTCCCCAAAAACACTTGAGTGAAGAGGTGAAGAATAGTTTTGTGTAGTCTCACCTATTGTTTTATAACTGTACTAAGAACTTTGATTTTCAGGCTTGATACAAATATTCCACTCATTTAGTATAAAATTTCAATGTGAAATACTTATGTCTCTGAACTAGTAAAGTAAAAGATAATTCTTACTCTTTTTTTCATCCATGAGAATTACTATTCTACATCTGAAAGTACAATGCAAATTTTATAATGTTCTCAGCAGTGAGTTTTGCCACTTTTATATGAGAGAGGCTGATAAAGGGAAGAAATGAGGGAGAGTCAGAGTTTGACACAGTGTGCTGTTTGTCATTGCCTAAAGTCATCATGAATATGGGGTTATGAGAGAGACCTGCTGCAAGAATAAAGATTTTACTGGAACGCTTCAGATTTATATTAAATTGAAATTTATATTGATACTTAAGTTGAAAATTAATGCTTACTCTTTTAGCTGCTCTGCCATGAGGGAATGTACTGTGTTGAGACACATTATCTTTCCACCCAGAGCAAGTTATGTGAGATATAAAATGGAATAGGGCAAATATAAGAGGAGGAGCTAGCAAAAGATAGACAAGTGATCTTTTAAGGGAATATAGATAAAAGAGAAGGGAAAAAATAATAGAGAACAGGCAGGAAGCCCCATAACAAAAATTTTGGAGATAAGAACAATAAACAGAAATCAAAATGGTCCTAATTTTATATTTTTTAAAGCACAGAAATAAGAGCTGAAGGAATCATAATAAAATAGATACTAACTTGAAAATTTTCTCATTATTTTCTTCGTTTTTATTATTTGTAATTCAAAACATGTTCTTTGAGAAATAGCATGTGGTATTTACTGTGAAGTTATACTGACTTATTTCTTAACTCCATTTCTCAAAATTTAATAATTTAATTATGCTACTTTCAATCTAAATATCAGCTTAATTAAACATTTATTAAGCTTTCTACGAAAGAGGCTATGCAGCATGGGAGATAAAAGCTTGGGCTTTGCCTGGTTTCAAAGTTCTTGGGCTAAATAATTCACTCTATGTGCCTCAGTTATTTCATATGTAAAATGTGGATGGTACAATAGTACTTATTTCATACTGTGACCATGAGTGTTACATAAATTAATTCGTGAAATTAATTGATGATTGCTAAATAGTATGTGCTCAACCATGTTAGCATTATCATTACCACTTACAGTGTAGTAATCTGTGCCTGTGCATGAATAGTCCCAATAACTCTTATTAGATTACACCATTTCAACTTATTTTAAATTAAGGCATGCAAAAAGTTGCCAGAATTGTGAAATGAATTTTCTTACCTCTTTATTATTTTTTTCCTATGTTAGCATTTTATGAAACCACAACCAGGATTACATAAAACCAGAAATTAAGATTGGTAAGATACTATTAACTATTTTGCAATTCTAGTTTCTAATAAAATTCCATCAGCTTATCTACACATGTCCTTTTTCCGTTCAGAATTCCATCCAGGCTCTACATTATGTATAGTTGCTATTTATCTTGAGTATCCTCCAGTCTCTAACATTTCCTCAGTCTTTTCTTGTCTTTCATCACCTTGATACTTGTAAATCCCTGATCAATTATTCTGTAGAATGCTCCTCAATTTGGGTTTGTCTGATGCTGTCTCCTTATAGCAATGGTATGATATATTGTTTAAAAGAATACCACAGAGACAATGTTGTACCCTATTTGGTGTTTCATATCAAGTGGTTCATAATGTAAATATATCTTAGTTTAGGTTTCGTTAACCTGGATAATTTAGCTCAGGTAGCTTCTTCCAGGATTTTCCATTCTAAATTTACTATCTTTCTCTTTGTAGTTGTTAAATAACTTAGGGGAGATATTTGGAATTTATAAAGCCTCATTCTCAAAATTTGCCATATAATTTTAGCTTCCATCAATGAACATGTCTTAAAGATTTATTATTACTGTGTTTGCATAACAGTACTTTTTTCTTACCTTGTACATATATCAATTAGAATTATATTGTAAGGAAGAATAGACTGTCATCCTCATATGTTTATTTAATAAACAATTTTGTTAATATAGACATGAATATTTATATTTTTATGGATTAAAGTCCATTACTATCATTATTTATCTTGCTATTCAATTTTCTTTTTTCAGCTTTGGCCACTTACAGATTATTCAAATTGTTGGCATCTGTGTTCTTTCAACAAGATCTTATCTTTTCCTTCTTTTTGAGCCCTTTTTTATTTTCTGGCACTGTAAGACTTTCCAGCTTCCATTATATTTCTTCTGCCCTGAAACAACTCCAATCTATAAAAATTTTGGTTTGTTTTATTGGAAAATGATGTTTAGAAAGCGAAATGGTATGTTCATTGTTACTAGCATGTTATTGCTTCTAGCATACATACATAGATATTCACATCAATATGTATCTAATAACCATATGTATCTCTTTGTGTGTAAATATACATACATACATATACATGCATGTATATACACATTAAAAATCATATTCTTATATTAAAAATTAAACTCATATTAAAAAATCATGAGTTTATACTGCTATTTTATAGCACCTATGTCAGTATAAAGTTAACATTCTGACTAAATTTGGAATATATAGCCACGTATATACCCACTGGACACCTGACCATTGCAGCAGTTGGGTTAAACTCTAGGTCAGGTACAGGTTGCATAAACACATATGTGATAAGATATTAGCACTCCTGGGGAATTCCTAAATGCAATTAACTACAAATTATCACACTCGGCATAGTGGAATTGTGTTCATGTGTGAAAATAATGTGTCCAACTGACAGGTCCAATGACATAACCCTACAAAGAGTACAGATAGCAGAATAATGGATCCTCAAAGATGTCTGAATCCTAATCCTTGAAACCTGTAAGTATGTTACCAAACTTGCCAAAGGAAATTTACATATATGTTACTGTTATCAACCTTGAAATGAGATTATCTCTGATTATCCAGATGGGCCTTATCTAATTACACAAGATCTGAAAACTCAAGATGGTTTCTACCTGCCATTGCTGGCTTTGAAGAGGATGAAGATGGCTACAAACCAAGAAATGAGGAGGCTTCTAAAAGCTAGGATTGACCCATCGATCATAGGTGACCAGAAAATAGAGGCTTTGTTTCTATAATTACAAATAACAGCAACTGAATCTAGAACCCACAGAAAGGAGCCACACACTTCCAAAATCATGATCTTTGCCTAGCAAGACCTATATCAGACTTCTACCTACAGAATTGTAGGTTCTTGATAACTGTAGGTCAGTAGATCATGGATTTATGTTGCTTTAAGCCACCAAGTTGGTGGGATTTTGTTACAGCAATAGTGAGGAATTAATACAGTGGAGTTTTCCTGAATTCTCCACACATTCAGAAGCCTGAGAGAATTCAGCTAATTGAAATTATTAAATAGACAGTGGAGTTATATGAAAATGGTAGAAAGAAAACAAATCTTTATTGAACACTGATTATGTATCAAATGTGTTAAGCACCTTAAACATTATCAAATATAATCACCTCAATAACCCATTGAAATAGGTTTCATTTTGATCATTTTATGCATGTAAAAACTGATGCTTAATGGAGAGGGTTAATAATATTATGGATAATATATAGTTATGAAAGAGTGAGATTGCCATTTTTAGCTAATGCAGGTCAGGATTCAAAACCTATTTCCAATAAGAGGCCATGTTTTTTTAAAAACATCTGGTCTGTGCCAATCCCTGTGATATGTGCTTTACTTGCATTATCTTATTACTAATAACATATAATTTTGTTGAGACTGACTGTAACCAAGAGTTTTAAATAAAGGAAATAATCATTAGAATATTATTTTTTAAGATAATATTGAGACAAAAACTGAGCCTTGAAGGATGGGAGATGGGTGGCATTTAGGTTGCTGCAGAATAGCATGAAAAGCAGCAAGGATAAAAGGTGCATTCATATCTAGTGCATTTTGTTCTTTAATATCAAAAACATCACACACTAATAATTATGTGTGTATAATATAAATTGTATATATGTGACTATATATATACAAAACAATCCGTTTGGGGGATTATTTTTTGATGTTATTTATGTAGGCTATTTTGTCCCTTATGACCATACTGATAAAGTGTGATTGTTCATTAAATGGACAAAAGATGAAATTCAGCTTATTGTTAAAGACAGTGTAAGAAAGCTTTTGGAACATGTAGCTAAGGGAGATTTTGGCTCACATTTATAGTCTATAGCAAAATATATTCAAGAAGTACAACCCAGAAGTAACTTTCAAGATACAGTTATAAGACCAAAAGCAACCTTTTGTGTTTTAGAGCAAATAACTCACTATGAAATTTAAATCCTAGCTAAATTTTGACTGCCACACCTTGAAGCAATGAGACAATTTTGCTCCATTTTCTCTCATATATTTTTCTGGTTTTGTCACCGGCATGAAGTATTGGCATTTGCATGCTTCATTTATTCTGTGAAGTATAGTAATATACTGTACTATTTTGACCTTTTTGAAAGGCTGAAATTTAATTAGTTGACTATTTTCCACTTGTCATCGTCTCAACTTCATTGAGTTGTGAGAAAGGATAGGCTAGCCATAAAATGTGTGAAAAATGATTAAAGATTTAACATTTCATATGTCTTTAATCCTTGTGATCCTCTCAGTTCTGTTTCAGGAATCTCAGATGCCTAAGCAGCATTTGATCTTATTGAAGTCATGATAATACAGCATGGTGTTCATTACAACACCCGTATCATGATGCTTAACAAATTTAACTCTCACATTTCTAGGAAATAATGCCCTTTTACTGAGTGTATAGTGTATTCGAGAGCAAGAAAGATACTCTGAGTGAAAGAAATTTATCATTTTGATATCTAGGAGTTTTGCTCTTTATTGCTAATGAAATGAAGGGCAGTTACATGGATGAAGAAATGCCAGAAATCGCATGAAAGAAATAGTTATCTGCTCTGTGCCTCTATTTTTAAAACAATCTGCTATTAGTATTAAATATGTCTCTCCCACTTTATGTTAATTAATATAGATGTCTCGGCTCCCACAAGATGATGAATAAAATACTTAAGCACTGGTTTGGATCTTGAGTGAGTGCATGGATAATAGAAGTTGGATATGCAGTACTTCAGTTAAATGCTACATTTCTAGCAAACAAGTCTCCTATTCTGAAATAACTTTTAAACATATGTGATATTAATCATAATGACATATATTTTGTATTCGAGAGTATATTTTTTGTGTAATGCTAAACTACAGACATCATTACAACATGCCATTTCTTAAGGTTAATGAGATAATCCAGGCTTCTAATTCTTATATGAGATAGATCTTTGGAGAATAGGATAGTTTATCACTTTCGAGTGATCATATATTTCTTTCTTGTATACTGTACAAATTTAGCTAAAAATAAGAGCGATATTTTTAACAAAGATACATTACTGTAACTATGAGCATTTAAAATGATCTGTAATGGCATATCAAACTTACTAAGATTTTAAAATATAGCATACTATTTTAAACCTGACATTTGCATGTTGCTTGTAGAACTCAGGAAGCAGGGGGATCTTCACTTACTATCACCTTGACTTTCTCATACAAACAAACAAAACAAATACTAGAGGATGTGGCATTATTCTGTCCCTAATGATTTGGGGAGACAGGCTTAAAGTCAGAAAGTATTTTCTTTTTAAAATCTTCTTAGTTTCACCTTCCCCAATATTCTCATTGGTCTCAGAGCTGTGCTGCCTGTGGCTAAATTCATTTCTCCATGCCACTGAATCAAATAGTAATCAGACTCTTTCCCCTAAAATGACAGATTTAAAAATAATTCTACTTCATTTGTGCACTTTGTAAGGATAAGAATAATTTAATTAACCCAAGTGTGCAGGCCATGAATTGTTGCAAAGTAATTCACACCAAGAGAATAGTTATAAACAGCACAATAATTCAAGTTCATGAGTATATTTTTATTATTACAAAGTGATATTTTAAAAACACTCATTTGTTTGAGAAATCACATGAGGGCACATTACCCTTTATAACACCAGTTTCCTAAAATGAAAATGATTCTGTGAAATACAGAAGCTAAGGCCAGTGGAGGAATCTCTAGAAGCAAAATTTGTTAATCTTGCCTTAGAGTCAATATGTAGCGTAATGATTCTGTTAGCTTCTCTCTTACAAGGGCAGAACCTAGGAGAGAAAACTAAAAACTTATTTAAATACACACATTTTGATTTTTTTCTTAAGTACAAAATAACTATGTATTAATTGTAACACATTTGAAAAATTATCTTCCATCTTCACATAATACCTGATTTCATTTGTAATTATGTTAGCAAAGATCTGTCTTCTATAATCTAGACTGTAGACTGATATTCATGAGTGGTTGTGGAACATGGAAGGTATTGTACTATTTTTTTGCTAATTTTTTTGGTGATAGAGCACTTATTGGGTAAATGTGATTCTTCTAACATAGAGCATCCAGTAGATAATTACTTTTCCTTAACATCTTTTTTTTTTATACATTCACATTTGTAGGTAGTACTCATTTGTAGGCTGTACTCATTGTAGGTAGTATTCATTTATAGGTCTTACACAATTTGTAGGTAGTACTCGTATTATTCTCTTCCACTGAGATTCTACCTAAGAAGTCTGGAATGAAGTGCCAGCAATAGGTAAGATACCCTCCATAGCAAATTCTAGGTGTCAACTTTGTGTAATTATCCATTATTAGAGTCTTATTTGGTGTTTGAGGGGGGAATTGGAAACAGCTTTAAGTAAACTTACGTTTTATCATTTATATGTAACACTATATCAAAGTGCTACAAATATGCTAGACCCTAAAATAATAATTAGCTGATTAGTTAATTTAGAATAGTGTCTCCTGCTACTCACCAATATTTCTGGTTCTTTTTTCTTTTGTTGCATTTTCCCATCTTTTTGAAATTATAGGAGGCATAGTGAATTGCCTTGTAATTGGAACTTATGTTTCACTTTTAAGTGGAAGCATTTAGTTTTTAAAAACCAGTTTTAGATTCTCCATGCTTGTTTTCCCCAGGTCACAGTAAAAGGGAAAACACTTATGGATATGGAGATGCCACAAAATTAGAGTATTTGGGATCGAAACCATCACCTCACCTGCCTGGACTCACAATGAGCAATACTCTGGGATCTTTTGATATTTGTGGATTACATGTTACTGAAAGCCAATTTACCTGATTCTGAAAAATACCAATGCTTATTTCGAGGTAAGACATTTACCAATTTTACAGATAGAAGGTCTGTGTGAGTGTGTGTGTGTGTGTGTGTGTGTGTGTGCATGTGTTCAAGTATAAACAAATTGGTTTAAGAACCATGGATGAGAAAATTGATACCATCGTGTAAATAGGAAGAGGTAATATAAACAGAGATCACAGATGAAATTTTTCACTGAAGATTTCTACACAAAGCCAAAGCTACTGATGTCAGAATTTCTCTCTTATGGGACATATCTTTCCATGAGCTTCAGGTTTCTGTAAATATAGCTTATTGAAATTACCAGTGGTCTTTACATGCCCTATGTTTCAAAATCCTAACTCATCACTTCTCTCCCAAAAGATTCTATATTTTTAAATCTTACTTGGTGGTCCGTACCTTTCTCAGTCACTTAGTCTACAAACCCAGAAGTATGGAAATTGATTTCTTTTTCTCCTCTTACCTTTTCATCCAGACACAAATCTTACAGATTTCAATTCCTTAACATATTTCACTTGTTCCTCTCTAATTTTACTGCTCCTGTGGTACTTCATTATCTCTTGCCTGGTCTAGCCAATTAACTGGCCTTCTTTCATCCATTTATTTTAACCTTTAACCAAGCCTCCACAAAAATCCCCAGGGAGATATTTCTAACTTGCAAATCCGCTCTTGTTATTTCCACATATGAACTCTTCAGGATAATTTTTAGTGGAATCTTAGTCCTGTGAGATATTCCTTGTAAAAAACTACCTTGAACAAATGAGTTTAGGGATAATGTTTGGTAATTTACAAAGCACACAGATATATTAAAAACTCAAAGAATGCCTGCTTAATCTTGTTTGATTTGTATTTCTCAAATTGACTTAACAATGAACTCTTTGTATTCCTTTATAAGATCTATTAACACCTGCAGATCTGCTTTTCCAGATTGGCCCCAGGATAATGTCAAGCCTCTTAACATGTGGTTCTAGCCCCTGTTTGCTTCTCTAGAATCGTCACGGTCTTTAATTTTATGCTCTGGGAATTATAAAATGCCTCTAAGCCTCTGCACCTAGTAAGTTATTTTTCATCTTCCTGCATTTGTTTTTTAAATTATATTTGGAATGTTGTCCTCACCAAAATAAGATCTAGGGCTTTGCTGATCAATCTTTACACTTCAGATCAGATGCAAATGACCCCTGGAAGCCTTCCTGATACTTACCTATTCCTAATATTGTGATTTCTATAATAAATTCTAATTACCTATTCACTTATCTTTTTTTCTTAAGAATATCAACCTTTGATAGCAAGGACCATCTCTTCATTCCTTGTGTTTTAGTGCCTTGGAGATATTTTGTGCACAATAACTATTTATATAATTAATGAATGAACAAATAAATATACAAAAGAAAACATAATGAATGTACGAAATGATAATTTTCTAAATGACTGTATATCATACACAAATGTGAATAGTCATTAAATGTTTACACGGCAATTAGTTGAATTTATTTCAAGCCTCCTTTCTTGATTTTGATGTGCTTTTATAGGGACCCAAATTAGGACTATAAAGTTTCCACAGTGTATTCACAGTAAATAAATTTATTCTGGCCAGATAAAACTATCAGCCTCAGCTATTGGCAAAATTGTGGTATATTTTTTTCTATGCTTGCTTTTGATTCTTTTCACAATGTGTGTGCTTTTTTTCTTGATGAATGTATGTTGAGTATAAAAGTTGCTGCTGCCCTAAATTTGCCAGAATCTAGAAATTACTGGATTGTGATTTAAAAATAGGTGATAAGAATTTCTCAGCCTGAGGTAGTCTCACTGATAAGCATGGACCACTTCGATTTACCGGTTTTGCCTCTATTTTTCTGGATGGCAGGATGCAGTCATTTATTCTGTGGACCTCCTAAATTTTGGATATTGCCCTGATGCTGTGTTTTCATTTCCAGATTCCCCGCATTGCTTTTCACCATATTTAGCCTGCAAGTCATGACACATCTATGTAGAAGTCTTCACAATCTGTATTTCCTGTAGAAACAGCCCTGGGATAATGACCCTCAATTTTAGCAGGTCCCACAAGAACCACATACTTAGGAAATGATTTTCTCTGCTCCATTGCATCAACAGTCTACTTTCTTGTTTTATTGTTTCTCTCAAGGAAATACTATCCAAACAATCACCTAGATGTCAAAACTCTGACTTTTTGGCTGATTTTTCTACCTAGAAACTCAAGTTTTTGTGGTTTTTATCTTTACATTATAAATAGAGTCTTTGCCACCTAATATTTTTAGATTTCTAACTAACTTTTTTATGAGCCATAACAACAGAACCCACACATTTTTCCTTCTACATCTTTTTATTTTGCTTTCCAGCAGCTTATATAAACTGACAGCTTGGCTATACTAAATCTCAAGTAATAATTTTCAGCAGGAGTCCTGTGATATTTATCTGACTCATAATTATAATCTTATATAAAACAACAACAATAAAAGCAATGAAAAACAACTGTTATCTAGGCATATATTTTACCCAGAGTAATCTTGAAAGGCTTACTGGAATTTACATTTCTCAAAATTAAACAATATATGGGTTCTCCTTCAAGTGGGGCGTTTAGTTATTATGGCTATAATTTAAATTTTTGGATCTTGATCAAACATATGTCTTTATGCTGAAATAAACAAAAACATACATCCTTAAAATATCTTCTAAAATTATATATTTTTATCTATCTATTGATGCTTATATACATTTTCTTTATAAGTATTATGGTTTAATGGAACACTTAATTCTTCATCTGTATCAGTAAAGTTTAACTTATTTCAGTGCAATACTTACAAAAACTTCCGTTGTAAGAAAATATATATTTATTGATAATTATTTGGGAGTTATGCAGTCTATTCATTCTTTTTCTAAATCTATTTCTGAATTAAGTAAATCCACAGATTAAAAAAATACCCAGATTGTATTATTTTGATTCCCCAAGACTGCCAAAATACTGCTTCATGGTTCAGTACATCATCACACTTGTACTGCAGTGTGGATTCATCATTGCTTGAGAGGGCCATACAGGGCCTGGGGTGGCTGTTCTCAGGCTGTTTGCTTCTGTTTGTAAGCAGTATCTTTCTTTTACAGTGGGACGATACAAAGATGAAAGGTTATCATTCTCTCTTTGTAACTCAGTTTGAAACTGTCTGGAAAACATTCCTATCAAATTATTTAAATCAAGGGTGTTTTTGGTCATATTATGCCATTTATCTACATTGTGGTATTTTATATAAAAGATGGCACTATAATAATGCCAAATGTCTTAAAAATTTTAATTTATTACTGTATCAGTCAGAGTTCAACCAGAGAAACAGAAATAAGAGAAGATTTTATATATAGAGAGAATTATTACAAGGAATTGGGTTATGCGATTGTGGAGAATACGGCAAGTCTGAAATCAATAGGGCCATCAAGAAGGACAGGATAAAACTTTCAGGAATGAATTGAAGCTGCTATCTGTAGGTGAAATTTCTTCTTCAGGGAAACCTGTTTAGTTCTTAAAGCTTCTGAATGGATTGAATCAGGCTTATTCTAGGACAACCTATCATACTTTAGGTGAACTGATTATGAACGTTAATCACATATACAAATGATTTTCACAGAAACACCTAGATTAGTGTTTAATTAAATAATTGGGAACTATAGCCTATCCAAGTTGATGCATAATACTGACCAACATAATCAAAATAGTTTATATAATGTTGATGAAGCTTCAGAGTAGACTTTGGGACCAGGAATGTATGATATGTTTCTGGGGAAGATATTTTTGTTTGTTTGCTTGATATGATTCAGTTTATTTTCTCTTGTTGGTACCATGAATAACTGACCATAAGTTCTGTGATAGAATCACCTTCAGGTGACCTCAATGAGTCCCGTCTGTGTATAGATTCCCCTCCTCTTGAGTCTTAACAGAATCTGTGACTTGCTTCTAACAAATATAACGTGGCAATTGTGATGGACTATCACTCCCATAATTATAGTACATTATATAAGACTCTGACTTGGCAGACTGGAGCAAGAGATTTTCCTTCTAGTCTTGCAGGAGTAAAGAACCGTGCTGTAAACTTCTTACAGAGTGGGCCAAGAAGCAGGAAGCTGTCATGGCCTCTAAGAACTAATGGTGGTTTCTTGTCAATAGCCACTAAGAAATGGGGATCTATAGTCATATGGCTGGAAGAAAATAAATTCTGCCAACAATATTACTAAGCTGGGAAGCAAATTCTTTTCTAGTTAAGCCTCTAGATGAATATGCAGCATGGTGGCTACCTGAGAGCCCTGAGCAGAGAAGCCAGTTAAGAGATGCCTGGTTCCTGACCCACAAAAACTGGGAGATAATGAATGTCTATTGGTTAAGGCTTTCAGTTTCCAGTAATTTGTTATGCAGACATAGAAAATGATATAATTCTCTTTCTCCATTTCTGCTTAAGGAGACCTAACTCTTGGCTGGTTTTTTAAAAAGACACTTTAGCGTTTCATTCAGCTCCATTCTTTACCCTAGTTTGTATCAACAAGAAAAGTGGTAATTTGACTTTTGGGTTTTTTGCTACTTGTCTTGGTGTTGGGTTTGTTCATAATTTGCAATAAGTACAGAGATAGTTTTAATAAGGCTATCTAAGAGACTGTACCATCTGGTGCATAATATGGGGAAACTGGGAAGTAAAAGAGGGAGTAGAATATTCAGGCCTAAATGATTGATGAAGAGGCTTTTGGTTTAGCTTCTGGACTCCAAAACCTTTGAACTAAATTATTCGATTTTAGTTAATTTTAAAGCCCAATTTAAAGGAAATTATCTTTATAACCTTTACAAGCATTGGTAAATTTAACAATTTTACTCAGTCTAATGATTTATCTGTGTGGTCTTGTTCATTAGAAAATTTCAGCCTTGGAACTACACGCATCGAACTGCTTTCCTCTGACTTCAATCTCAGAAACACTGTTCTTAAATATAAAAGGTAACAGATCACCCTACCATGCTGGAGATAGAACCAATACTGAAAAAGAGATAGAGAAAGACAAATAACAATGTTAAGGCCAAGGTATCTTCACAGAGGACAGTACTTCTGAAATGATTTGATAATTAGTCACAGTGCAAAGGAAGTAGAACAAAAGACAAAGAAATTATAGGATACTTGAAATGAATAGATAGTGGTTCAAGAATGATAGTGGTTCAAGAAATAGTGTCAGTACTAGATGGGGACAGGCAGAAAAATCAAAAAGTAATAAAAGAGCAGGGGGGCATACTTCAAATGAGACCTAAAGCTTCAGAGGATAAATCTATTAGATCTATAATCTAATATAAATGGGAAAAGTAGGGATATATCCAAGATATTTACATATCAAATATGTTTTTCAAGGTAAGGTTGCAAAAAGGAAGGTTTAACTGTTTACCTGGTAAAAGGACATGACTGGAAACCATACAACTCCGATTAAAAAAAAAAGGTGGAGAATTGATTTAGTGAGATTGAAATGGCTACCTTAGGGAGAGACTGGATCCAGCAAGGGATAAAACACAATTATTAACCATTGTTTTGATATCTGAAATAGGCTAAAATATAAAATATCTTTAATAACTTGATCTGAAAGCAAAACATGATCTTTCCCAAATTATGCTGGGAGAAAAGTTCACTTAAACTTATTTATAGTCTTTATGAATCTCACTTTATGTGAATATTCATATATTTGCAACAGTAATATTAATATGCTTTATTATAGAGTACTCCCCCAGGTCCCATGGATCTATATAGATAGATAGATAGATAGATAGATGGGATCTATATCTATAGATATCTATAGATATATAGATATATGTCTATATATAGATATCTATACATATATAGATATATAAATATATAGATATATAGATCTATAGATATAGATATAGATGTAGAGATAGATATAGACAGATATAGATCTATATATAGATCTAGACCTACAGATCTAGATCTATATATAGATCTATATCTGTCTATATCTATATATAGATCTATATCTGTCTATATCTATCTCTACATTTATATCTATATCTATAGATCTAGATATCTAGATATATATAGATATTTATATATCTAGATATCTAGATCTATAGATATATATAGATATCTAGATATATAGATCTATATCTATATCTATATCATAGATCTATATATAGATATAGATCTAGATATCTAGATATATATAGATATCTATAGATAGATATCTATAGATATAGATAGATATAGATAACTATATATAGATATATAGATATAGATATATAGATATCTATATCTATATATCTATATATAGCTATAGATCTATATCTATAGATAGATATCTAGATCTATAGATATATATATATATAGAGAGAGAGAGAGACAGAGAGAGAGAAAGAGATAATATAAAAGTTCTACAATCTCAAAATGTTGAATTCTAAGATATATTTGACTCCATATGTACAGAATAAGAATTGTGGACTCTTTCAAGAAACACTCTTTCTAATATGAAAATAGAGAAGCTATTACCAAAAAAAAATCCCAAATCAGATAATTACTTGTTAATGTTTGTGCCAGAATATAGAAAATGTGGACAGATTAAAAGTGGTAGCATGTATGTTGTTTGTCTCCTGAGAGAACAAGTTAAGATTGTTTATGGAGGTAGTACTCTAAAGGTAGAACTCTAAAGGAGGGAAACATGATCCATGTTTAAGATGAGAGGAACTGCACAATTGATTATCATGCATTGTATGCCTGTATCAAAATATCTCATGTACCCCATAAATATATACACTGATGTACCCACGGAAATTAAAATTTAGAATAAATTTAAAAAGAATGAATAAGATCTACTGTTTCACAGCACAACAGGGTGACTATAGCCAATAATAATTGTACATTGAAAAATAACTAAAAGAGCGTAATTGGGTTATTTGTAACACAAAGGATAAATGCTTGAGAAGATAAATACCCCATTCTCTATGATGTAATTATTACAGGTTGCATGTCTGTATCAAAACATTTCATATATCATATATATATACACACACATATGTATATATACACACACATATATATGTATATATACACACATATGTATAGTATATGTATACAATTTATGTTTATGTATATATCTTTATCTTGTATGTATTTTACCAAGTCCTATAAAAATAAAATGTTATCTAAATAAAAAGAAAAAATCTATCAGTATCATGGTAGACAGAGTAGTGTTGCTAAAGAATAGTGAATACCATCACTATTCTACCAAGAAACACTATTTTATGCCCATTGTTCATTCAACATTAAAGAGGCTCTACATTTCAACTTTCATATTCCACTACTTCCTATATCCACTCTAAAATTCATAAATCTTAAGTACTACTTTTAAAAACACATTGCACCATTGTGATAATTTGAATAATGAGTCTTAATTATTTATTTTAATTGCCAATTGGTGTGTAAGAAATTTCCCTAAAACTTAGTGCTGTAAGCCAACAAATTATTATTTCATATGATTATTGAATGAGGATTTGGGACAGGGCTTCTCCAGGTGTTTAGTCTTTTCCTGTGACATCAGCTGGAAAATGTATTTGGCTGTATTCAGCTGGCAACTGGGTTAGGCTGAAAAGTCCAACAAGGCTTTACTCACATGTTTGGCATTCCGGTGTTCTTCCACATGGCTGCCTTCTTCTGTTGTGGCATCTTACTCTCCAGGGCTTCCTCTTGTTTTCTCTCACTCTAGCTTGCAGGATAGTTTGTATCTTCTTACAGCATTGCTGGTTTTACAAAATAGGATAAATTAAAGCTGCCATATTTTGAAGGCCTGGGTTTGGAAGCTGTAGAATATCACTTGTGCGGCATCCCATTGCTTAATGCAAGCTCAAATGTGTGTACAGGGAAGGGAGAAGTTGTTAGTGGCCTTATTTAGAGGCAATTTTTATTCAAAGCTATTTATTTACAACCTTAGTACATTGAGCAATGAAATAAACACTGGAGATATAGGCACTGGAGATACACTTTTATTCAAAATTAATTATTTACATGTATTGATAGACATAATCTTTATTGCATTGAGCTAAGTGTCTAATAATAACATAAATTAATCAAATAATCTTTAAAAACATAATTACAAACAGGAAGGGGAGGGGCAAGTGTTAAAAAATTATCTACTAGGTGCTATGCTCACTAACTGGGTGACAAATTCATTCATACTCCATACCTCAGCATCGTGCAATATACTTTTGTAACAAACCTCCATGGGAAACCCCTGATTTTAAAATAAACTTGAAAAAAAACATAAATTTTTTATAAATAATAAAGAAAAACTCCAGAGAGATATTTGAGGCATCATTTGATTTTGGGGAGTCAGTGAATAATTTCTGGGCTCATATTTGAGGAATGAATACAAGTAATGGTACTATATGATTTGATATGAAGTAGAGATAGTATGGTAGAATTTCAGGCAGAGATAATATGCACAGATAGAGGTATGAAAATATACCAACATTCCTGTAGGCTAGTGAAACTAGACTAAAGAGGCTAAGAGAAAGAGTAGCTGGAATGAGGTTGGAGAGTCAGGCTGGAACAGACAATTCATGGTCTTGCAGTATGGAGGAAGGATCTTAGTCTTTATTATTACAGCAATGAATTATCATGAAGATTGATATGATTATCTTTATTTATGTTAAAAGATTGCACTGGCTGCAGAGTATACAATGAATTTGGGAAAACATGCATATACAGAAGAATATTTATTTAAATGGCTATTGTCATAATTCAGGCAAGAGATGCTGGTAGCTTCTTTGTAGTTGAAGGTGAAAGTGGATAGAGACTCACATATGAGAGCGTTTTTTTTTTAAGTCATGTCAACAGAATGTGGTGAATTATTAGACAGAGTAATTAGCAAGAAAGTTATATCAAGGATATAACTTTCTCAGAGTCTGGAATTCTCTTCTTGGCTGACTCACTTTGGAAGCTGAGTAAATTTTGAACATGTGATTGGAGGCTTCTGTGATTTTCAAGCTTAAATGTTTAATAGGCTCTTGCATATATAGGATATATTACATGAATGTTTTTGCTTTAAATTATAATTATTTAATCATTCATTTTATTAATTTATTACAGGACATGTTATTATATTTGTGTATATTTTCACCAAATCACTTATTGCTAACATACTGCATCTTCCAAAGTACTTTTTAAATAGAATTAACATATCTCCTGAGAAATATCTAGAGTTTAAGAAGACTGGGCACTTTGGCTCATGCCAGTAGTCCCAGCAGTTTGGGAGGTCAAGGGGGGTGGATTACCTGAGGTCAGGAGGACCAGCCTGGGCAACATGGTGAAACCCTGTCTCTACTAGAAAATAACAATAATAATTAAAAAATAGCCAGGTATGGTGGTGCATGCCTGTAGTCCCAGCTACTCAGGAGGCTGAGGCAGTAGAATTGCTTCCACCTGGGAGGAGAAGGTTGCAGTGAGCCAGGATTGTGACACTGCACTGCAGCCTGGGTGACAGAGCAAGACTCTGTCACAAAAAAATAAAGTAAAATAAAAATAAATAAATAAATAAACAAATAAATAAATAAAAATATCTAAAGTTTGAGCTCTTCCCTGGAATCTGGTCATGCATCTTAGACTGATGTTTTTCAATGCAATGCTTCTTAAGAATCATACTCTACTGCAGATTTCCCAGAGTTTACTATTCTCTTTTCCCTAGGTTCTTCCTACAGAAATAAAAACACACTTAAAAGTTATAAGCATACAATATTGAATTGATTGAATAGGTTATCACTCCAAGAATACAATTATTTAAAACAGGGTAGAAAATAGAGAATCCCTTCTCTTTTCAGTGAATGTCACTCTAAGGATGCAATTTAAAAATCCATGTTTTCCAAGTGAGAGGATATATAGCTTAGCTCTATTTCATTTTAAAACATCATACTTCTCAGGTAACCATCTCTAATGCCTATATTTAAGGCAGAAGTTACTTTAGCAGTAGCCACAAGAACATTATTCTATGCTGTAGCAGAGCAGATATGTTTTGTTCCTCACATTAACTTAAAAAACCAAAGAATATATTACTAAATATAATGTGATCATACTTCTCAGTTTGTCAGGGACTCTCCTGTTTTACACTTGTCTCTACATACTTATTTCTAACCATTGCATTATTCTAAATATCATCCCTGTTTGGATGATAAAAGTATATGGGCACCCTACTTAAACATCGTGAATTTATTTTGCATGCTACCATTTGTGTATTTTCCAAAGCCCTTCCTAAAGCTACAAATTTTCTTGGATTATGCATTGCAGTGAGAAAATCCAATGTTTTGTTAAGTTCTGTGTAATGTACTCATCTGTTTTTATTAATTTACATCCTTAAATCTTGTAGGTTTGCGTCTTAAAATATTATATTTTAAAATTGTGCCTTACTTCATTTCTGTTTTTCTTGTTTCTCTCCCCATCATCAGAGCAACACTAGGTTCAATTGCCTTTATATATCCTTTCACTGCTTACTTTTATCTCCCTGGACCTTCTCCAGTACTCATTCTTAAATGTGATGACCAGAAGTGCTTGCAGTATTCAAGGTATAGGTGCACTAAGGTTTTCTACAAGAATAGGATAATGCGGGCTCTCTTGGGATTACTTTTGCTTTTATGTTTGCTGCCTTCCAAAAGCTCTCTTGAGGGTGTTAAGTATTGTGTTATCTCCTTTGTCTCCTGCAGCACATTGGCCTAATCTCCCTAGGGATGAATCTCTAGCTTCTCACATTAATACATATCGTATTATCTTAAGGGTGCCATGAATGTGCTCAGCTGCTGTTAAGAACTGGCAATTCAAATATCCCTTTTCCCACCACTTGAACTAAGCCCAAGCTGATAACAGGATTGTGAAAGAACGAAGATGGCATGCTTCCTCTGAAAGTCAGTATGTTTGCCCAGGACACAAGTATTTTAGAAATTGACATTTTCTACCCTCAACAATTGCAGTCTTCAGAATAAATGTGAATTTTTAAAAAGGAAGGGAAATATGATTCTGAAAACATTTAGTAACTTACTGGGATTTCATCTATATAAATCAAATAAAACTCTCAATTATTTTCTACAAAAATGTTTTATGTTTTATTCATAGTTGAGATATATTTTGCAAAACATTATGAAATTAAGACAAAGACATTATTTAAAAACCGTTTTCAGAACTGATATTCACTGTTTTACTTCTCAGGCAAAAATTGTTACAGTTTGAAAGAGGATTATCTCTATGAGTTTCTTTTTTTGTCCTAATAATGGGAGATTTTAAAGTTCTGTTTGAGGAGATTTTATGTCAGTACTTTACAAGCTGAAATTGCTAAGGAGAAAAACAATCTTGAGTCACTTTCTCTTAAAAAGAGGGACAAAAATTCCATTCTACGTGTCTTTAGCTTCTAACTCAGTTTTGCATCCAACTTTAGCAATGTGATTTGTAAAAGTAATGAGAATAAAGACACTAGCATTCATCACTCTTTTATAAAATTATTCATAAGCTAAGCAAATCTCTAAGAATGGCTCTTTTCGGCCAGGCACGGTGGCTCACGCCTGTAATCCCAGCACTTTGGGAGGCCCAGACAGGCGGATCATGAGGTCAGGAGATCGAGCCCATCCTGGCTAACACGGTGAAACCCCGTCTCTACTAAAAATACAAAAAAATTAGCTGGGCGTGGTGGCAGGCGCCTGTAGTCCCAGCTACTCTGGAGGCTGAGGCAGGAGAATGGCGTGAACCCGGGAGGCGGAGCTTGCAGTGAGTGAGCTGAGGTCGTGCCGCTGCACTCCAGCCTGGACGACAGAGCAAGACTCCGTCTCAAAAAAAAAAAAGAATGGCTGCTTTTCATTTTAAGGTTACAGAAGCCATGGAAGCTACTTCTTCTTAGAAAAAATCAGAAAAAAAAAACATGAATAAATAAATATACTGTATCCATATTACAGAGGGTACTATCGGCACATAGAAATATAAAGTTATAAATAGAAAAAAAAACTTCAGTAGTGACATTTTTTTCTCTTCCTGAAAAATACATTGTCCCCTACCTTTGCATTGTGCATGTGAAGCAAGGTTACAAGGCTTTAAGTAAAACTTCTCAGGAGAGCAGAAAGAGAGGTCGGCTATACAGATTACAGCCTTACAGATGGGACTAATTTCAGGGACAGTATCGCTGGGTTAATGTCATAAATGACTGCAGGTGGTTTGTTTGCATAAGACACCTCCCTTTGGGCAGCACTTAAACATTAGTGATTAAGAATCACTTTGGGAGCTGCTTAAAAATTAAACTGAGCAGGGCCGGGCGCGGTAGCTCACGCCTGTAATCCCAGCACTTTGGGAGGCCGAGGCGGATGGATCAAGAGGTCAGGAGATCCAGCCCATCCTGGCTAACACAGTGAAACCCCGTCTCTACTAAAAATACAAAAAAATTCGCCGGGCGTGGTGGCGTGCCCTGTAGTTCAAGCTACTCAGGAGGCTGAGTCAGGTGAATCGCTTGAAGCTGGGAAGCAACGGTTGCAGTGAGCCGAGATTGTGCCACTGGATTCCAGCTAGGGCGACAGAGCGAGACTCCATCTCAAAAACAAAACAAAAAACAAATTAAACTGAGCCATAAATGAGAAAATAGATTTGATTAAGTACGTTTAAGTTATAACCCAAGAATCTATTTTTAGCACACTTCTGTCGGTAATTTTTATGCTCACCAGACGCCAAAACCCACCATTCTAGAAAGTAGATGATGCAAACTATTATTACAGTGGAGAGAAGAAATATTTAATAACAGTCAATACTGTCTCAGTTTGTGCAATGTCCCATGCAAATACTAGTACTCTATAAGTATTAGTTCATTTAAAACAGCAGTCCCCAACCTTTCTGGAACCAGAGACCAGAGTTCACTTAAAACAGCGGTCCCCAACCTTTTGCATCAGGCACCAGTTTTGTGGAAGACAGTTTTTCCATGGACCACGGTGTGGGGAGGGGTGCAGTTAAGATGGGTTTTTGGATGAAACTGTTTCAGCTCAGATCATAAGGCATTAGATTGTCATAAGGAATGTGCAACCTAGATCCCTCACATATGCAATTCACAATAGGGTTCCTGCTTCTGTGAGAATCTATTGCCATTGCTGATCTGATAGGAGACAGGGCTCAGGCGATAATGCTTGCTCGAGGAGTTCACCTCTTGCTCTGTGGCCAGGTTTCTAACATGCCACGCACTGGTACCTGTCTGTGGCCAGGGACTGGGGACCCCTGATTTAAAACACACTCTGTTTTAAGATCAGAGCTGACATTACCTTTATTTTACTTATAAAAAAAAACTATGCATGAAATGTTTAAAATGACTTCTCCATGGTCACAAAATTTTTAATTGAAATAGTTATTATCAAACCCCAACAATATGATTCCACAGCTGTTTGTATTATTGTTTGGAGAAGCTACCTACACATATATTAAGATAGAAATGTGGGAAGAGGAGCTGGAAACACACTGTGGCAATGTCATGGGGAGAAGTTCACTTGGGCAGGAGTCTGGGATAATAAGAAATCTTCACTCTTGCCTCATTTCCATCCATAAGTCTTTTGACATGTAGTAGAAATGAACACAGCTTAAAATTAAGGCATATTATTGGTATAAATGAATCACAAAGTAGCTTTTTGGAGGGAAAACAATAAAGAAACCACAATATTTTTAGAAGTCTGATTTGTTTGAATTACATTATAGTTTTTACTAGTATAAAAATAAAAGAGAGTATATGTGACCTCAAAAACATAAGAATAAATTCTCGGTTTTATGTTGTCAGTTTTGGATTAGAAAACAGTATATTATTCATTTGCATTTCATACATTTAAAATATTTAGAAATTTATATTTTAGAGCTATTCGATTCTTTTAGGTAGTTAATATAGTATGTATAAAAAATTTATTTTTTTCTTGATGCAATATGATGCTTATAGTATAAAAGAGTGGATGGTAATTCTTAGAAAAACAAATTAGATATTTTTGCTATGTTTTCGAGATTCACTGAAGATATGTGTGTTTGTATATGTATATTAATGTGTATATGTATGTATATATATTCAGCCAGCTTTCAAGCAGACATGCCAATGCTGATTCATCTAAACTAAAGTCATGGTTTTGACTTTGAAATTTTGAACACCTAGATTGTATGCATTATTATTGGCTTTATTAACTTAATTATCATATTAACTTAATTAACATATTAATAAATTCATCTTAAGTTGATTAATTTTAGCTTCGACATTTAATTTTTGAATTCCCAAGGAGTTTATCTTTGTACATATTACATGTCAAAGTTCATTGTCACTATTCTATATATAATCTACAGGTTTCCCAAAAACATCTTTCCCGCTCTCTCTCTCTTATGTCTTAATATCCAATAAGCAAGTCTTCATCTTTGAACCTTTTTCCTCTGCTGTCAGAGAAATGTATCTTTTTATACAAAAGGCAAAATATATGTATTAAATTATGCAAAAGTCTAACTGCAATATTTATTGCAGTTACAATAAACTTACTGAAAACTTCAGTTGAAATATTTACAACACTAAATTTTCCTATCCAAGAGCATGCAATGTTTCTCTAGTTGTTAAACTTTTATGTGTAATTTTTGATAAAATTTAAAAATTTTTACTATAGATTCTGAACTTGATGTTAATTGTGTATTTAAGCTTTATTTTTAGATATTTTATAGCTTTTTACTCTTCTTATTGGTTTCATAGTTTAATTAT
Source organism: Homo sapiens (assembly GCF_000001405.40). NCBI lineage: Eukaryota > Metazoa > Chordata > Mammalia > Primates > Hominidae > Homo > Homo sapiens. The sequence continues at coordinate 83,836,829 of NC_000003.12, read as the reverse complement.
ATACACTATTTGTATTAATCTTTAGGACAAATAATAATTTTTATAATTGATTTTATATTTAAAATATGCTAGAATTAATTACATATTAAAAATTCTGAAATCACTTATTTTGCAAATTTTAAAATCTATTTTTAACACACATATTTGTCATTTCTAAATAAAAATAGATTATCTATTTTCTTCTTATGCATATATCTATTATTAATTTTGATATTCTTTGTTCTTTTGTCCCTGACATTTAAACAAAATATTTGTACAGGAAGTATCTCTATTAAGGATAATCATTGCTACAGATTTTTAAAAGTTTTATCTGTCTTAAATAAGGATTTTAACTTTGATTTTTAGTTTGCTAAGGCTTTTAAAAACCATAATTGAGGCTTAACACCATCAAATATTAATCCTGCTTCTACTGATATAATTCAAATGATTTTCTTTCTCATTAGCTTATTAATTGAAACATAAAGTGTTCATTTAATACGTCATTGGATTCAGTTAGCTAATATTTTATTGAGGATGTTCACATCTAGTTATAACTGAAATGGGCTCTTTAACTGCTGGTCTAGTTGTATAATGAAGGTTTGATTTTATTTTAAAATGAAATAAAGAATTTTCTTATTTATACTTTCTGTAACGTTGTGTAAGAGAAAAATAATATCTTTCATAAAAGTTCAAAATACCTCATCTATAAAAGTATCTGGGACTTTCTCTTTTCTTCTTGTGGAAAGGGAGGTAATTTCTGTTTCTTTAATATTTATTAAAATAATAAAATTTTCTATTTTGTAATGGTCCAATTTCAATAAAGTATTCTGTGATTATTAATTTTAGTTGTCAACTTGGTTGGATTAGGAAATATTTAAAAAGCTGAGAAAGCATAATTTTTGGGTGTGTGTGTAAGGGTATCTGTGTGGGTGTTTCCAGAGGAGACTAGGAAGTGAGCCTGAGTGGACGAGGTGGGGAAGAGCTGCCCTCAGTGTAGGCAGGAACCACACAATCTGCTGGGGACCCAGAAAGAACAAAAACAGAGAAAAAGTAAATGTGTCAACCTGTCTGCTAGAGCTGGGATACGCTTTTTCTCTACTGTGATTTTGTTGTTGTTGTCGTTGTTTGTTTGTTTGCTTGTTTTGAGATGGAGTTTCTCTTTTGTCGCCCAGGCTGGAGTGCAGTGGCGTGATCTCGGCTCACTGCAACCTCGACCTCCCAGGTTCAAGCGATTCTCCTTTCTCATCCTCCCGAGTACCTGGGATTATAGGCGCCCGCCACCACGCCCGGCTAATTTTTTTTGTATTTTTAGTAGAAACAAGGTTTCACCATGTTGGGCAGGCTGGTCTCAGACTCCTGACCTCAGGTGGTCCACCCGCCTCGGCCTCCCAGAGTGCTGGGATTACAGGCGTGAGCCACCGTGCCCGGCCTCTCTACTGTTATTAGACAAATAAATTCTGGGCTCCCTGGCCTTTGAACCCCAAAACTTACATCAGTAAGCCTCTGGGTTCTCAACCGTGAACTGAAAGTTACACCATCAGTTTTCCTGGTTCTGAGACCATCAAGCTTGCAGAGTCATGCCACTGGCCTTTAAGGGTCTCCAGCTTGCACACAGTCTATTGCGAAACTTCTCAGCCTCCACAATTGATGAGCCAGTTCCCTTAATAAATACCCTCACATACATCTATCTATCTATCTATCTATCTATCTATATCTATCTATGTATTCATCTATCTGTCTATCATTTTGGTTCTGTCAATTTAGAGAACCTTGACTAACAGATGCACCTGTATAAGAATTTTATACTTTATAGCAGCTTTTAATGTTTTATTATTTTAAATATGTTTGGTATCAAAAGTAATTTCTTTTTTTAATTCACATTTTGTTAATTCTTATCTCCACTACTGTATTCACTTATCAATCTCTGAGAATAATATTAATAATATTTCAAATAACCCAAAATTTAGGAGTGTATTTATTATTTATTATTGCTTTTCTTTATGTCATTAATCTCTGTCATTACTTTTATTCTTTCTTTCTTTATTTTTTTTTGGAGAGTGCTCCCTTGCTATTTATCTTTGTATCCTCTGTATTCAAGTTGAGTATCTAGTCTGTACTTTATTTCTTTCTGTTCTCTAATAGATACACTGGAACTCTCAACATTTTGATAAACACATCACAGTTTTTATTGAATTTACCTATTTTTGCTTTTGTTGCCTGTGCTTTCAGGAATGTATCTAAAAAATCATTGCCCAGACCAAGGCCATAAATATTTTTTTTCCTACGTGTTAGTCCATTTTCTGTTTCTAAAACAGAATACCACAGACTGGGTAATCTATGTTTTTTTTTTAATAAAATATTATTTGCCTCATGGTTCTGGAGGCTGGGAAGTCCAACAGCATGGCACCCTAAGCACTTTGAATATAGTGTCCTACTCTCTCCTGGCCTACAGCTTTCTGCTGAAAAATCTACTAATATCTGTATTGGAACTACTTTGAATGGGATAGGTTTCATATTTCTAGCTGCTTTTAGAATTCTTTCTTTGGCTTTAATTTTTGGTAGTTCGATTGTAGTGTAAACATATTATATGGGGAACCCCATTTTGAGTTGAATTTGATTGGAAACCCCTTAGCTTCCTGTACCTGGATGTTGTCATATTTCCCCAGATGTCGAAAATGTTTAGCCATTATTTTCTTAAAAATGCTTTCTGGACCCTTTTCTCTAAATCCTCCCTCGAACTTTTTTTAAGTCTAGTCACCATATTATATAATAGATTTCTTAAACTTATTCCATGTACCTAACTAAAATTTTATATTCTTTGACCAATATCTCCCAACCTCCCACCAACCACCCCACTAGTAACCACTATTTTACTCTCTACTTTTAGAAGATCGACTTTTTTAGATTTCACATATAAGTGAGATCCTGTGGTATTTGATTTCCTGTACCTGGCTTATTTTACTTGGCATAATGTTCTCCAAGTTCATCCATGTTGTCTCCAATGTCAGGATTTTCTTCTTTTTTATAGCTGAATATTATTTTATTTGGCATATATACTAGGTTTTCTTATCCAGTTATTCAATGATGAAACACTTAGATTGACTTCCTATCTTCGCTATAATAAATAATGCTGAAATAAACATGGAAATGTCGATATTCTTTGACATACTGATTCTATTTTCTTTGGATATGTAGCCAATAATAGGATTGCTAAATAATTGAGAAGTTCTAGTTTTATTTTTTTCAGAAATTTCCATACACTTTTCCATAATGGTTGTACAAAATTGAACTTACTGATTCTTTCTTTTGCTTGACCTAATCTGCTATGAGAGCTTTCTATTGATTTTTTCAGTTTAGTACTTGTATTCCTTATCTCTAGGATTTCTATTTTTTACTGTTTAATTTGTTAAACTTTTTATTTTGTTCATGGCCTTTTTTCAATTTTTACTTAATTTTCTATTCATATATTCTTGGAGTTCCCTGAAGTTCTTCAAAATTATTTTTCTTTATTGAATTTTTTGTCAGTCATTTCATAGGTCTCCATTTCCTCCATATCCATTATTGATTTACTAGCACTTTTGATGGTTTCATATTTCATAATTCTTTGTAATTCTTGTGTCCTTGCATTGGTGTGTGCACGTGAAGAAAAATGCACATCTTCTTGCCTTTGTAAGGTTTTTGGTAGTGATAGACCTTTAAGATTTAGTCAAGACAAGGATGCTGAATATGCCAGTTCAGCCAGGCAGAACTTGTTGTCAGTTTGTTTCTAGTTGGGCTGGGTTGCTGAAAGTTGAGTACTTCTTTATGACATAATATTATTTGTCTTGCTCTTCCTTGCATTTTCTAGAAACTGATATTTAGACCAGTTTCTATAAAAAATAAACCTAAGAAATCTAAACCTAAGAAAAAACTAACTTAGTTAATTTTTTCATTAGGTAAAGATATTCCACAGATTACTTGTTATTGCATATTTTTATACGGTCAAAGTATTTAGTTTTCTTATTTTAGAGAGGCAAAGATTTATATGTTATTTCAGATTGTAATACCCCTTTATCTGGAAGAAATTATTTTTTATTCTTATTTCAGTTCTTCCTTGCAGAACGTTTTTTAAATGACCTTATAGTGAAAACACTTCTGAAGTCTTAAATGTCTACATATTTGAAACACACATATAGACAACAATTTTGCAGAATTAGTATTCAAATGTTTCTGTTTATACTTTGAAAACATTTTTATGATAGCTCTATGATTTCTGTATAGGGCTGTATTGTCATTCTAAATTTTTGTTACTTATGGTAGTCTTTCTCTGAAAGGTTTTAAAATCATTTATCTCTCAATTTCTAAAATTTTAATATAATATATCTTAGTATACCTTTCTTTTTTTATCTTATTTGGCATTCTTTGAGCAGTCTATCTTATGTTTTTATATTGTTTTCATTCTAAAAATATTTTCATTAATTTTGCAAACATTTTCAATACACATTTTTTTCTGCAGAAACTTCAATTATTTATATGATTATATTTCTCCTATTTTTATCATTCTTAACTATTTAATTTAATTTTCTTTTTTTACTCTAACTTGTCATCTCCTGGAAGAGTTATTCAGTATGTTCTTTTAGACTATAATTTTAATTTTCCCATTCGCTCTAATCTTCTTGTTCTCCTTCTAACATCTTCTGTGTGCTCTTTCTCACAATTTTGGACTTTATTTCACTTAATTTACAAATAAATGTATTTCCTTTTTTACATATACATGTATAATTTATATATATTTATGTATAGCACATAGAACATATATGAAATATATGTGTTCTCCTTGATATCTATGTTCCACTGCTTCATTGCTTCTATATTGCTGTGTTTGCTGCTTATTTTTATAGTGGTCTTATGTCATTACAGATGTCTAATTATTTTTTATCTACAATTTCATGTTTTCTGGAGGTTTTGGCAACCTTGTTTCTGCTTGGATACTATAGTAAAAGCTGACCTTCAGGCTCCAGTTTTGTCCCTCTTGGTGCTATAAGATGTTAGGATTGTCAATAGATTCTAGGTAGTACAGATGGACTGATGTGCAGCTCAGTTTACTACCACTGCCTCAAACAACTTCTCTATTTAGAAAATCTCATTTAAATTTTGGAAACAAATATTGCTAGAAAAAGATATACTCTTTAGCTTGTAATCATCAAAATTTGAATATTCAAAAGAGGATAGAGTATTGGGTAATTGATTTCCTATACCAGTTTTCATCAGTTATTTTCCCCAGCTGGGACTTAGCACTCCTTTTGTATCATACAACATGTTCCCCATGGGATGGACTATTGCTGCTTATTTTCAACTCACAATGGAAGTGGGGACTACAATGTTCCTTTCAAGAGCAGGAATTTAATCTGCTTTCCAATATATCATTCCTCTGATAAACCTACCACCAACATCCCTAGCTGGTGAAATGTATCCTACTTTTACCTCAGTTCAAAAAAACTGAGTCTCTACAAGTACTTTTTGTTTGTTTGTTTGTTTTGAGACGGCGTTTCTCTATGTTATTCAGGCTGGTCTCAAACTCCTGCACTCAAGTGATATACCCACCTCAGGCTCCCAAAGTGCAGGGAATACAGATGGGAGCCACCATGCCTGGCCTAATTTTTGAAATTTTAAATAAGATAGGGTCTAGCTGTATTTTCCCAGGTTTGTCTCAAACTCGTGGGCTCAAGTAATTTCTGTCTCTGCCTCCCAAAATGCTGGGATTACAGACATAAGCCACTGTGCCCACCCTCTACAAGTACTTCTAACAGTTATTTTTAATTCCTTGGCTTCATGTTTAGCTATTTTTTTCATAGTTTCTACAGAGTGAATTATAATGGAAGGAGCTCTCAGTCTATACCAGTTTGTCATTTCTCTAGAAAGTTAAAAAAAAAAACACCCTAAGTTTAATTTCATGGTGCTCTCTTTATTAGCATCTTTTATAAATTCACATTTTTTATTTATATGGGAAAGATATTTTCTTTAGCTATATAACATGTGTTTTTTTATAAGTTTTAGTAGGCTTTAAATGTTTTCAACTGTAGCTAATTAATTATGGACACAATAATTTTTGAAGCCATTAATGAACATTATTACAATTAAATGCATATATATACATAAATGTCCATGAAACCTGCAATAACTTATAAATAAAAACATAACATCAACTGAATTATGCACTAATAATAGAGGTATAAGATTTTTATTAAAAAATATGCTTTGTTGAGTTAATATGATAGAAGATTCCCCAATAACTCAAAAGAGATTCTTGTAAATATTTGATGCAGTAGGAAGAAAAAAAGAAATATCCCTTCAAATACACATCTAATCAATTGTATTTTTAATCCTATCTATAAAGCAAGCTATTTTTTCCTTATATCGCTATTCACCTTTCTTTTATAAACCACAATATTGATTGAAGTGACAGAGATAATGAAAGGCAAAAACAGACTCCTATATATTTGCAATTTATGACCCTGATATTTTTAAAATTTTATTTGGTGTAATGAATAAATCTGATTCTAAAATATTTTATTTGCTATTATTCACAGGTTAAAAATGAACATATAAGCTTTATTAATGCACTGCAATTCATTAATACATCCCAGTTCCAAACCATTTACTCACCATTCTTTACTATGTATATCCTTAATCTTGTCTGTAAATTAAAATTTCAGAGCAGCATCAGCTTGCACAATATTTTCATTGAATTTTATTCAAGAGACACAAATTTGTATATAAAGTCGGCAAGGCTGCAATTACATACTGAACCAATGTTGTTAATTTAATTTTTATTTTTCCACGGACTGTCCCAATATGATACTTCGGGATGCATACCTGTAACCAAAGAGTGATTTATAAAATTAATGCAAAATAAATGTTTTTATGTTTATTATTTTTATCAAACGTGTTAATAATGTAATGGTGTTTTACAAAGAGGACGACTAGTGTTGCATTTGTGGTCATACAAGTATGGTTCATCTATATAACTGTTAACTCAAAGTGAAATATCCACAAGAACCTGTATAAATGTATCTGAGAATAGTCAAAATGTGAATCAAGATTAAAATAATATGAAAAAACGTTGTGAATATTAATATCTAAATATATGACATCTCATTTTAATTTTGCTTATTGCTTGATGCCATCTCAGTTTCAAGAGACAAATTTGCAATTGTAAAGAAAGCCAACAGCAAATATACTGTCACTCATATCAAATGACAAACTGAAGATGAAGGAATAGCAGTAACAAGCATTATATTCTGGGTGCTTTATATGTATTAACTCATTAAAAGACATACATCTTCATTCTTGTTTGATAAGTCGCCCAGCTTCAAAGATTATGCTCTTAACCACCAAAGTATGCTGAAGACACTTCATCTATCAGTGAGAATTGAGCTTCATAATTAGCATAGCTAAGGTTAATACTACTGATTTGTTTTTAAATTTCATTTTGCCTTTAAAATGTGTTTATCACTCACTTCTAGTTTCTAACGCTCGGTTACTCTTTGTTGATCTTACCTAGTCATTTGTACATGCATGTTTGTGTGTGTATCTGTGTGGTCTGTGGCAGGGGGGATAAAATGTGTTTACTTCCTACCATCCCATTTTTGGATATAAGAAGTTTCTAATTAAGGGCCATTGTCATTTTCTAGTTGTCACTATCCAAGGCGACCACCATTTCAATTTTCCCGGTAATAAAGAGGTTTCCTGAATATGGAACTTTTAGGTTTAAAACCAGGGCAGTCCAGGAAAAGTGGAATGAGTTAGTCACTCCATTTTTATGATTTGCTGTAGATAGCTAAAAGCAGTGGACTTTCCTAACTCAGTTTCGACCACAATGTTTTTTTTCGTTTGTTTGTTTCCTTTGTTTAAGTTGTGGAATAACCTAACTTAATCTCTAGTATATAGAGAGATGATTTATACTAACATCTGAAATCCCTGAAATGAATAAAGCTTTTTATTAACACTTTGACCAAAAAAAAATGCATGGTTTAGATGAGTTCACAAGTTTTTATACACAGGCTTCTATAATAAAGGTTTTGTGCTGAAGAGACTTTTAAGGAAACACCTGAATCTTGTCAGGCTACTAATGTTAACCCTCTTCCCATAAAGGCAACTCATTCCATAAACTTTTGTTTATCATCCTTAATTTCCATTTAAGAGTCATAAATTGTAAGTGACAGTCCTCTCCAGAGCTGGCAAATTATACTAGCTCATAGCTTTCCGGTGTTCAACTGAAGGGACATGTATCATGCACTTTGATGGCTGCGTGCTGAATAGCCATCAGGTAATAATAATAATGATGTAAAATGTATACCTGCACATTTTCAATGATACATAGGGAGAAATATGGATAAATTTTCTTCCTCCCACTAACAGCATTTATGCTTGAAGTAATATCTCTTTCAGATCCAGAAAATAGACCTTTGTAATGTTCTAAATTATTAGACAATGGGCTCTCAATCTTGACAGAGCTCACGGTATGCATAGAGAAATCATTTATTTTGGTTAGACCATCATATGCACACCACAAAGCTGAAGAACATTTGAAACCCTCTAATGACAGAAATTGCAGTTATAATCTGTGATTTATATCTATGTGTATATATGCACCTATGGAACTATTTGTCTCAAGGCTAGAATGTTATTTAGGCATATGTTTGGTCGTTTGGTCATAGAACTTGCATTCCAATTTTCTCAAGGATGTATTCCAAAAAAAAAAAAAAGGAAACGAAATCAGTGCTATGAAACAGTATTGTAATCACATGTGTATTCTGCTCTCAGCACGTAAACATATATTATATAACGTTTCCAGACAAAGCTCCCCTACAGACTCTTAGGAGACCTCCTATGCAAGTATATAATATATGGGAGGTAAATTTCAAACAAATAGCTTATTTTTATTTCGAATTCAGTCATCTATTATGTAGGTACATTATGTTTTGGCTCCTGTGGAGCTCAGCACTGCAGGAATAATGAGTTGAGCAGTGCTGACTACCATTCTGATTAGACCAGAAGCTGAGACAGGATAATTTAAACAGAATAGGCTGGCCAATGACTGGATAGAGGGGGTTGAATGAAGTGAGAAAGTCATTTACAGAATTGGGCAGCATCACAAAGGCAAGATTATCCAGGCTCAATCCTTCATCCATAGCTCATGTGGTCCTCCTTGGAATACTGTGACCATCACCTGCTGCTAAAACTTACTTTGTTCTCTTGTAGGTTAGCAAATCACGTCTATTTGGAACTATTACCATTTGCTATGGTTTCACTAAAGAAAAATCCCACAGAGCTTTAAATAAGAAACTGCACCTGTACTTATCTAATTCTATCTCCATATAATATACACTCTGGTAATTGAAGATCAAACAACAAATGTTAGCATGAAGGTTATTTAGGTCCAAGAGTTTAGAACAAATAATAGTAAAAGCTGTGATTCACATTGCTGATGGAAGCAGAGAAAATTATTGCAGATATTGGATGATTTTTCTTGCCTTTGGAAACATTAGGCCAGTGAGATAGAACTTGAGGACAAAGTTAAAGGTGAATCTTGGATGACAAGTTTAAATATTTGTAGATGTATTGATCCAGATGATTCATTACAAATAATAGTAGTTTCTGTTGCTGAGGCCTGAATTTGAAACAAAATAAATGTCAATGTGCAAAGGGGAGCTATGTAGCGAAGGTTCAGTCTTGAATGGCTACCCTGTCACAGAGCAATATTGTTTAATACAACATTTTATTGAACTCTAACAATAATATGGTGAAATTGGTATTACTATCCATATTATACACAAAAACATGAGGAAGTGAAGTGCTACTGTACATTTCGTGTGTTTAGACAATAACTGATGTTTTTGAAAATATCTTTTGTCAATGGCATCAAAAAGCATGTCACAAATGAAAAGTTTTACCTTCATCTTGTCAGTCCGGTTCAGGTAGTTTAGGAATAATTTATCACCATGGATTTAATATTCTACTTTTCTTTATGTATTTTGTGCACAATTCTATTTATTGGTCTTATTATAGATCTTTAATATTAAGACACATTGAACTCCAAAAATGCATTGCATATTTTGACAATGATTGGAATAATTTTAAAAGTTTTCTTTCCTTTATCATAGTCAATTAATGCCAAATACTTGTTTTCTTAGAAAATGCTATGGAGCAAATGTTTTTCTATTCCTGACTTCTGGTTTTTAGAATATAAGGAGGTTTTTTTAAGAAATTTTCTTTCTGAAATTAAAACTTTCGTATGGAAAGTAGATCCAAAGTTCAAATATGGCATGTGCAGCTAGAATTTGGCACCTAAGACAGAGCTTTCCTAAATCCCACTTTCAAAAAGCTGAAGGCAAAATGATCTTGTGCAAAATATTTTTAGTTGGCCATTTTCTAATCTAGTGCAGAGTATTATTCTAAACCTTAGGGTAAAACTGGCAGATCATCATCAATCCTATTTTTGTCTCCCAATGCAAATTGAAAATATAAAATTTGGTGTGTATGAATTAAATTAATGGTAGGAAAAACACAGAGGCCTATTTTATCCAGTGAGATGCAAATATAAAATTGACAATTATTACCACAGTCTGCTCTAGGGCCTTTTTACCATGGCTTGATTTATTTTATCTACTTTTTCTAGTATCAAAGATAGCCAACCTACAAGGCAGCAGACACTTGGCAATAGCCCTAGCCAAAATATACACAGTTGGAAGGAGAGAAAGCCTGTCTGAGAGCTTGCTGTACCCTCTAATCCTATTATTGGGATTGAGGAGGAGAAAGATGTTTTCCGAAGAGCAGGTGCACACAATAAACCAGCCCAAAGTAGAAATATCTTATGAAATAATGTATTACTTTAACGAATACTCTACCTCTCTAAATCTCTAAGCGGAAAACTCCAACTTCCCCATCTACCACATAATACAAAGTATGCTTCATAAATTACTATTACAATATTTGTGACTTGTCTTACTACGTATGTTTCCATATAGTGAGTCCTAAAGTCCACTTCTCTGCTCTTATATCTAACTAGAGCTGAACATTCATACAAGAAACAAAATTCCTCCTTTCCCTAGGCAGTATATATATTTCTTTGTAATGGACGCACTAAATTAAAATTAACCTTCACATCTGTTCCACTTTCTAATTACATATAGAAACAAAAAAGCACAATTCACAACTGTACCATAAAACATAAGTTGTATGTGATTTAAATTTATTTGCTGAATTTACTTTATTCCAGGCAATATACATCTGTTACATTATTCTCCTATTGCAGACATAAATCAACAAGGAATGTTTTTCTCTGGGGAAGAATTTTCTGCTGCTTTTTCCTCTATGTAAAAAACAAAACAAAACAAAACAAAAAAAACAAACAAACAAAACTCCACACACACAAAAAAACATGGTTTTCTTCCACAAACAGTATTTTCATTTCATTCATTTTAGAACAAAGTTTAAATGACTATATTGGTCTGTGAGTTTGATTCCGAGGACTAGACCCGAACTTAAAAACAAAACAAAACAAAACAAACACTCAAAGGAAGCAGCCGGTTCATGAGAATTTTGCAAACATACACTCAAGAGACTTTTGGAAGCTATATATATATATATACATATATATATAATATAGAAATATTTTTAAATATGCTTTGTATTTGAAGAAAGTTAACAGTTGAGTTCGTTTGTGAAAACATAATAGACAGTGATCCTCATTAAATAAGCCAAACTTCTGATTCCATTGCCTCAAACCATGCTAATTAATTGTATCTTCAGTGTAGTAAATCTGTGGTTTCTCATACTGCAGAGTCAGTTGCTTGGTTGAAGAAAGTTTAGCCATGATATTTTAACTTGATTTGAAAATTAATTGTTTCAAATACATGACATACTTTATGATATAATTATTTGTTGGCAAGTAGAAAATATCAGACAGTTAAATTTTTATTATGATAGGTTTTAGAAATGTGAGCTAAATGACTACATTCAACCAGAAGAATATGTATCTGCCATTCATTCCATCCCTCTTGCCCCCGTTTTCACTCCCATTGCCTTGCATGCTGAGTTCTTTCATATAAGATGGCTATTTTAGTAGTCTTCTTGTTTCAAGATCATTCCTTCAATATATTTTTTATAGTACTCTGAGATTGAACATTCTCAATTTTAATTTTTTGTGTTATTAACTTTATTTTTGTTCACCGTTTAATGCTTGCAAAATTACATCCAAGTCCTGTGATTTAGATGAAAGCATACTATAGATCTTTACCCTCCCTGTTATCTTCCTAATTCTGTAACTTTTTTTTAGTCATTATTAAATGACACTATCTAATATTCTATTTGGTGTTATCCCAATCTTTTTCTGCTTTCTCAATATGAAACCTCATCTCTACTACTCTTACTCTCTATAGCTGACCTTTCTTATGTTTTCAGACTGAGGATATTTGAAAAAAAAACTCCATTTTCTAATATCAATATACGTGTTTCTTTACTCCTCCCCTACACCCTGGGTTCAGATGAATATCTATTAGTCTCACTTACCCAAGCTAATATTCCCACTGAGTTTCTGATTCATCTTTTCATGTATGGCTTTTGTCTTTATAAATATTTTTTTCTTTACTTCTTCCTTTCAGTCTACTGAAAATATGTTCAAGGGAGACTTATTCTAAAAACTGGTAATAAAAAAGGCACAAATTGTCAACTCATCAAAGGTGATAGATGTACCACTCTACTACTGCAGTTAGACAAGTAGTGTCCACTTACCATAGTACGTAGTAGAGTACATAACTACACCCAAATTCTAACTCTGTTGCAAACTGGATGGATTTTCATCCTTCTTCACAACTGCTCTTACAAATATAATCATGTCATTATTTTTAAACTAATATTTATTGAAGGCTTTTTATGCCAGATAACACCTAAAGCCTTCACATGGATTATCTAATTTTACCTATATACAGGTAAGAATTTAGAAGTGTAGAAAACTTAGAAACTATCACCCAAAGGGACAACAGAGCTAGCAAGTATCAGAACGTGGGCTTGAATCCAGGTTGTCTAATTACAGAGCTTGCATAGTAACTGGCCCTTTCTTACTAGAAATCAAAATCCAAAATAAACAAGATATAAAGTTACCTTATCTTGAATTCTCTGTATCATTCATCACGATTGATGGCAACATTATGAAATCAATTTTCTAATTCCTCAGCCCATTAAATTGCAATTTTTCTATTCTTGACTAATTTTTTTTCCTAGTGTCTCTACCGCTGAATTGTATTTCTCCTTTCCTCTACTAATTCAGGTGTTACCCAAGGAGTCACTGCATGACCCTTTGCTGTCTACAGTTTATTTGCTCTGTTCTATCTTTTTAACTACCACCTCTATGAGAATGACTTCAAATTTTATAAACTCTGTTCTGACCTTTCTCCCAAGATCTGAACCTGCATTATCAATTGACTCTAGAGCATTTATTGCTTCTTGCTGAGGCTGAATATAATAACTTCCCCACAAAATAAAATGATAAGGTACATATTGCCACCATAATGACGTCACACACATGGTTTTCTGGCTCCACAGCTACCCATACTGATACCCCAGTGAAGATTGAGGAGCTCACTCAGAGGATGTGATATACTGATCAGGATTATAGGAAAAAGAGAAATCAAAAATAGGGCCAAGAAACCATTCTATTAAGTAGTAAAATATGCAGAATTTGTTTGTCACTCAATGAGTATTTTAATCTTTTCAGATAACATAGGCTATTAGGGCACATTTCTTAGGTTATATGCTTCCTATACCTATCAGTCCCTTGAAATCAAATCCTGGATTTGACCCTAGTCCTAATTGTCATCTTCTCCAATTAATTATCTTACAATGTACAAATTTTTTCCTATTACAAGCTATTCATGATGTTTACAATATTATTCAAAAATGCCTTATCTCATTAGGGTAGGGAATGGAGAAAGAGGAAATACATGCACAGAAGGTTGGAAATTTGTTTTAGATAGCTGAATGACCTGTAATGCTAATGGATATCAGATTCTATGTTCAGTTCTCAGGTAAGTGGCAGATGCAGGCCATTCACAGAGATGGTGGATATATACTTTTTCTTTCTTCCTTTTTTTTTTTTTTGAGATGGAGCCTCACTCTGTCACCCAGGCTGAAGTGCAGTGGCATGATCTCGGCTCACTGCAAACTCTGCCTCCTGGGTTCAAATGATTCTCCTGCCTCAGCCTCCCAAGTAGGTGAGATTACAGATACACACCACCATGCCTGGCTAAGTTTTGTATTTTTAGTAGAAACGGGGTTTCGCCATGTTGGCCAAGCTGGTCTTGAACTCCTGATCTCAGGTGATCTGCCCTCCTCGACCTCCCAAAGTTCTAGGATTACAGGTGTGAGCCACTGCGCCTGGCCGAATGTACATTTTTTATTTGATTTTCCTTGTGCTCACAACTATTTCATATGATGTATGCCTTATACTATTCTAGCCAATTCATGAGGGTCTTTTGTCCATATGCTTAAATAATGTATTTCCCTTCACGTGTTTCGTGGATTTGGTAGTACTGAGAAGTACAAGGAGATCACAAGATACAAATGTTATGTTCTTTCTTACATTTGTGTGAGTAATTAAGGCAAGAACAATGTTCCAGATAGAGTTACCATTGCCTATGGTTTTCCATTATTGGGTACATATGGGAACTGCATCTTTTTTTTTTTTTCCAGAGTCTTGCTCTGTCGCCCAGGCTGTAGTGCAGTGGTGCCATCTCAGCTCACTGCAACCTCACCTCCTGGGTTCAAGTGATTCTCCTGCCTCAGCCTCCTGAGTAGCTGGGACTACAGGTGCGTGCCACCATGCCTGGCTAATTCTTTTTGTATTTTCAGTAGAGATGGGGTTTCACTATGTTAGCCAGGATGGTCTCAACCTCCTGACCTTGTGATCTGTCCGCCTCGGCCTCCCAAAGTGCTGGGAATACAGGCATGAGCCACCTCGCCCGGCCTGGAAACTGCGTCTTAACAAATATCAGGTCTTGACTGGTTAAAAAAAAAAAAAAAGTCAGAAGGAGCTTGACAGTTCAAGGGGATTGGATGATTAACGTGTGTGAGCAGCGAGCTGAAGTCAATATGAGTAATAGATGAGACCACGTATTCAAATGCAGAGAAAGTCAGTGTGTTTAGCCTGAGTAATTTGCAAGCTGATGTGTAGATACAACTATGCATCTTTATGTTATTGTTGTTTCTCTAGCATGGGTGTGCCAGATTATTTAATGGAGTTAAAACATTTTAGATTTCTTTATAACATTCACTCTGAAGATGAAGAATACTGAATATAGACAAGGAGGACTTTGAGCAATAGTCTGTTAAAGTAAGAGTAAATTTTGTATTAGAAGCCATAATCAAACTTTTCTGTTGTAAGGGAAACTTTCACTATTGAATAGAGTATTAGTTGCTGAGGGGAAAAAGTGACTGGTGCACTGGAGGACCCTTTCTTTTATTATTGAAATGGTGGGAAAGGTATGAGAGGGGATTAATCTGAAGTTAAGTTCACTATGGCAGGAATTCAAGGGTTCTTAGAAGTCAGAGGTTTTCAGCAATGGCTCATACTTTCCAGATCTGTTTTTGTTCTAGGCCCAGACGTCATCCAGTATTTCAGGTACCTCCACAGAGGTGAACCAATATATGAATTTTAACAAGTGATTTATATGCACATTAAACATTGAGGAGTATTGCTATGAGGCTCTGCCAGACAGTGTCCCAGAGAGAAGACATTTGGAAGAAGGCTGCCAGCCAATAACTATAAACATGTAGCATGAGTGAAAATAAACTTTAATTGTTTTAAGCCACATAGACATGGAGCCTTTTTTTCTGACTAAAGACTAATATAGCTTATTATGATTGAGACAGACATCGAAAGTTCCACTGCCACATAGGATAAGTGATCCCATACATGTACTAAACATATCGTACCTAAACATGAAATATGAAACATTCAAATAATTAGGTGCTGCCTGAATATAGTGTCCTACATAAAAAGATTATTTAATTCTTCAAATTATATTTCCCAATTACACAAAAATGAAGACATTTACTTTACAATGCATCTAATTAATGTAAGAAGACATGACTTCACTAATTTATTGCAACTATTCTAGTGTTTGGAACTACTCAGGGAACCCATTTTTAAAATAATTATTGCTTTCTCTTAAATTTAAAGAGAATTTTTCCAGCACTTTCCTTTGCTATATAAAGAATAACAACCTTCAATCATTTTTTTAAGACAATGGCTTGGCAATTTTCAAATGGCAGGCAGATTACTAACAAAAATAATTCTATTAGGACATCATACGCTAATGACCTATGTCATTATTTGTCATAATATTTTTAAGGAACACTCATAAAAATGAACTGTTTTACTCTCAGTTCTACACTTTAAAAAAAGAAGACTTTCACAGAGTTAAGGAAGGTAAAGTGAGAGCTTACAGAATATGGCTATCACAATTAAATTGAGTCCATGAATGATAGGTATGTTTCTGAAAAATCACTAAGAAATAGCTTTAGTAAACAAAAAAGCTTAAATCATGGGTTTGAATAACATCACTTACAAGTTGAAGGTGGGGGTCTGAGAGAAGACTAATGTAATCAGGAACTATCATTCCAATAGAAAAATTTTTTTGGAACACTGGATAATTAAAAAAGAGAAAAGTTGGGTCTGAGAAAAGCAGAAAGTTTTGTTAATGCATGAACTCCGTCACATAGGGAAGTCAGGCAATGCCCTAGTCTAAACAAATAAGATTGGGGCATAGTCACAAATTACTGCTCTTTCTCTCATTATTGTATGCTAATGAACCATCCTTTAACAGGGGAAGCCACAGCAGAAACCTCCACCTAAATATCCTTTACCTTCTACACAAATTATTCTACGAGGTGTAATGCACCTCCAGATTGAAAAGTTTTAAGTTAAAAGGTAAATTTGATCATGTAAAATAAGTTTTACTTACTTTGGATAATATGTTCTTCTTAGAAATCTATAAAAATATAATCAACAACAAACCCATTTGAAATTGATTACTAGAATGGCAAGAAGTATAATATTGAAATATTTATTTACATAAATGTTGCCCCACACAAATCTATTCTATCATCAGTCTGTAAAATCAGATTTCTGCAGAGGACTCAAGAGAATATTGAAATGTGCCTATCCACCAAATTAATATCAACTTGATCTTATTTATCTTTGCCTCTATTGATATCAGGTCTATGTAACATGAGGCCTCTGCAACGTTAACCAGCTTACATATTCCAGCCCATAAAAGCAAGGCGTTGCCCTGGAAAACAAGATATAATCTGAGCAGAAAATTTATAAAGAAAACTGATCATTTGTACTGTAGAAATTAGAGCTAAACCTATGAGTAAATTAAGAACGGTGCCATAGAAGCCTTTGATGTGAGATTTCTTAGAATAGTCTCTCAACTTAAACTCCTATTGACATTCCAGCAATAAAGTTACATTGGTGCAAAAGTAATTGTGGTTATTGCAATCCTTTGCACCAATCTAATATTTGTGTGACCTTAATTAAGCAAGTCTCTTATTCTCTTCCAATTTCAGCTTCCTCATCTACAAAACTGAGAAGTCCTAAAGAGCACTTTATTCTGAGGGTTAAAGCGATGATAAGAGGAACTGAAAGACAGTAGATATTAAGTGCTAGTACCTCTTCCTGAGATATCCCTAGCAACTTGAATTCAGTAGCATTATGGGGAAAAACTGACCATCAAACACACACGTATGTTTGTAAACACAAACTATTGTTTTTCCGCCCATCGAGAAAAGAAAATGTTTTCTGAAATTTATCAAATAATTTTCTCTCCAACATATTTATTTGACATTTGCAGTTAGGTCAGACACTTCTCCTGTAGCAATTACTTCAGTTTGATTGATAATCTACACAGATTCTGGACTGTAAGACAATACATACATAATGGATTAAGCAATATTTGAGATGAAATGTGTGAAATTATTTTTAATAATTTATCCTGAACTATCAACCAAGTATAGATGGCAAGTTTCAGAAAACATTATTTTCTTTGAACAATTAGACAAAATTATTCTTGGCACATGAGAATATTTTAAATGATATGTAAAGAGGTTTAATGGTTTGAAAGGCCCTTGAATATCTTCACTATCACAAGCTTCAAATGGAGTTGGAAATAAATTATTTTGTGATCCTCCTGGAAGAGCAAACTAGTTTACTTTAGCTCATGTGCAATTAATTTTTAAACAATAGTTATTTAAAATATTCCTATTTTTTCCTCTTAATTGTATTTAAGGTCTGACACCAGTCCTTCCCTGTGAAAGAGCATCTTTCCTACGTCTTTCCCTACTGACAGGCACTTCTGCAACACCACTGATGTAAGAAAGGGTAAGTCAAAATGCCATCTGGCATCCTGGAAGAATTGACATTGATCAACACAAATTTAATCTAGGAATAAGTTCAACAATGTGTGTCTGCAATGTACTCTTGTTCTTCCAAGCAACTTTAAGTCAGTGATGTCCTACTTGATATTAAAGATGACAGAATATTGTTGGCAAGTCTTCTTAAAAGCGTAAAAAACACACAAAAAAAACTGCATACAGAAGACATATTAAACAAATCGAAAAGGTGAGGTCGACTATACTATGTATCCACAATGAAAAGTAACTTGTTTATCAGGTACCAAGACTTAAAACAGTGTTTATAATAAAATGGACTTCTGTATCCATACGTCAAAGAATGCCCAAACTGTCATATCCTTACTGTATTCTTGCTATAAAATACAGTAGAAGATGAGAAAAAACTTTTTATCTACTTGATTTCTCTCTCTCTTTTTCTCTCTGCAAATCCATATTTTGCATAAAAGAAACACACTGCATTGAATCATTAAAGTGATAATGCATTTGTTAAAATGGGGGGGGGCAAGGTTATAGAGTGGTCTTAGGCAGCATTCTTTTCTAAGTAAAGGAAAATCTAATAACCACCTTCAGGTTAACTATACCCCAAACATTTAGTACTTAAGTCAAGCAGAAAACAATTAAATGAATACACTAAAGAAAGACTCTCAAATCCCAAAGAGAACATAGATAAAATGCTAGTCATAAAATAGAATTTGCAAACATGCAAAATTACCCAAAAGTAAAAAGTAGTACAGAAAGCCACGTTGGCTTTTTATGTGCCCATCTTATGATATTTCCTAACACGGAAGGAGAGTCTGAGGCTACTCTAATCACTCTCTTTCCAAAGGAAAGTTTGGATTGTTTCATCATTTATTTTATTTGGATGTTAAGAATTTCTGGATCTGAGGCATTTTTTTTTTCTCTTGGAAAGCTTTACTATTTCCTGCCTTCACCTGTTCACTAACTTCACCTATGTGGTGTGGTTTATTCTCTTTCATAACTATTGATCCTTCTTCTTAACAAACCTGGCACTGCTTTGGATCTCTGTACTTCCACTGTTATTGTTGATAGTGCAGTTGGTAGGATTTTAATAACTTGGAAAAACTCCAGCCCTTTTATTCCCACATTGATCATGTACAGACCGTTCTGTCTCTGAAGCCTGGTTTAGAGCGTGTGTGGAGTTGTCTCTGCTTTCAGAGGTGCTGTCCTTAAATTGAATGACTATGTATGAAGCCTTTTGTGTGTGAGTATCTGTGTATGATAGTTAATGTAAAAGAGAAGGCGCCCATTCTCTTCCAGGAAGCTCATCATCAATTGATATGACACAGAGAATATTATATAATTTCATCAGAGGAAGGGACGAAGGAATGGCCACAAACCTGTATTCATGTAATTCAACTCAGCTATGCCACCTGTGTCTGAGTTGAATTTTAAAGGAGAAATCTCCACTGGCAAAAGAGGAGTGAGATGTTCATATGTTTGTGTTTTGGTGGGAGTACTAGTTGAACTGGTTGTGTTTCCAGGCAGCAAGAAAACTGTGCAAATGTGCATATGTGTAAGGTGACATGGCATTTTTTTTGAATACTGTAAATAGTTCAGCCATGCTGGAGTATAACAGACAAAGTTGAAATGAAGGAGCATATGTAGTGAGCAAGAAAGTAAGCAGATGGAGTAGAAGAAATTTGCCTGAGAAAAAATGAGCAGGGAAACAGATTATGATATATTCCGCTCTTAGTGTCTCTCTCAATCAAGGGGGTCTGAAATAGTAATAACTCTCGCTACTATTACCCTCATCAGTACCATCAATGAAGACTAAATATGCACCATGTTTTGTAATAAATGCTTCACACATGTTAAGTCCTTCAATAAATCAGGTATATGATATTTGTTATTATTTTAAAGTTTTGTGTTGAAATTTTAAACTTAGAGGTTATATAACTTGTCTAAATTGTGCAGCCAGTACCTGGTGGAGACTAGTTACAAATGTTCTCTTCTTGCCTAGTCTACTATGCTGTATCTGATATCTATGTTTTATTTGGGGGAGATTAAACCCATTATATAAATTTATATTCTCAAGTGCCATAACTTGAACCTCCCTGCAAAAGATAACCCAGTGCTAATAATTTCTTGAAAAGTGGTTAGGGAGACTTCAGTCCTATCTGACTTACTCCCTCATATTCCCTGAAGACTTTGCCACTGTACATTTTTTTTTTGTTCTCAAACATCTTAGGTCTTTCTAACTCCCACAAGACACATGTTCACCTGATGATATTGCCACGGAATTCATTGTAAAAAATAGAAGCTATCAGATGGGAACTCCTTCATCTCCCCACCAGCAACTCTAGAAACCTACAGCCATATGCCCAGTCTTTATTTTTTTCTTTGTGTCTTTTAAGAAGTAGAAAGTGTCTTTCTTTGTACTGGAGGCAAATTTTTTCACGTGCGCTTGGTACTCCATCCTGTCTTGTCTTCTTAATGAATTGACACTCCCATTTTTTCCACTTTCTCCTACACCTTCAAGATATTTATTTTGAAGGTCCTGTGATCTTTCGGCCTGTTTAATTGAATATACTCTTATATATCCCATTTATAAATCTTTCTTCTTTGTTCTAAAATATCTATTTTTTTGTGTAGAGGAGAGAGGACATTAGGGAAACACTAATTTATTATGCCTGGCAAGTGAAAAATTAAGTTTGGAATGAAATAATATACTGATCCTCAGCATCGCACTTGGAAAAGGTAAAATGCCCCACTTCATGCCACCCCTCGCTCCACTGTTGTACTCACTGCTCTCATGACCAGGCCATTATGTCAGGAAAGGATGGGCAGTTGTCATGGTTTGGAAGCATTAGTAGGCCAACAGATTCCTTGGTTTCAGAGCCATCATATCCTCATGGCCTTATAGTTTTTGTAGTTTTTGAATTCATATAGGAAATTCAATGAGAAGTGATCCCACTCGAAGCCAATTTACTGACTTTCAGCTTAGAAAATGTATCCCACTCATCAATCTGGTTGAACCATGGAACAACATAGTTCCCATATCGTTAATGCTCAAAAGCATGTGTGGTTCTCTACGTGGCCCTGGATCTGAGGCTCAGCTATGCCCATCAACTATCTGATTCCCTGTACAGCTTCATCTACTTTGCTCTCAGATGTCCCTTCGTACGTTCCAGTATAGCACTTCCATGTTCAGTAATTAGCATGGTCATTGTGGGTGACCATCTACTAATGATGAAAGTTAAAGAGCTTAATTACACATTTAGCTTTGAATTTGGGTCCTGTGATCTTTCTTCTAGCAAATGTCATACAGTGGGCCTTTCTTGGAAAGATTGGACACAAAGTTTCAAGCATCCATATTCTATCATATAGTTTAAGTATTGTTTAGATGGCCAACAGGTTTTGCACAATCTGGTTTGCCTTTACTTCCACTTCACGTTTTTCATCTTCTGTCCTGCTTTATACTTCAGTCCTACTCGTCTCACATCAATTTCCTATGTGTTATGCTGCTTTTTCCCAGGAAGAACATTACACGTGATGTTTTCTGTATCTGAAGTTATCATCCCATTATCATTTCATCAATCTATAAATAGCTAACTCTTATTCATTAAGTCTTAGGTCAAGTAATACTTATGCAGAAAAATTATTTTTTAGCTCAAAATCTCAACCTGAATATCCTTGTTATTCTCTCAATATATGTGGCCCTTTCCTAAAAAGATGTTACCACTTTTTCAAGTCTGATTTGTTTTTTGTTTAATTATCAACAGCTAGCATATTATCTTCACATAATAATCCCTTAATTAATATTTTAATAAATTGATAAGTGAATAAACATATATGTAAATAAAGAGTTCTTTATTTTTTGCACTCTTTACATAAACTGGCAGGACATAGCAATGCGCAGCACCAAGTTTTTTATTCAAAACACCAATTAGGCTTCCCTACCATTCATTTTCTATTATAATCCTGACAAAACACTAGAAATAATTAGGATAATTACATCAATTCTTTATATCAAGGGAATATACTCAAATAGGTTCAAAAATGTACTCATAAGTAACTATTTACTTATTTTCAATTTAAGTAAGTCTATTTGTTTTCAAACACAATGTTATAAAATAGAACATATCCACATTTACATTAAAAATATTTAATTCTGATGCTAAAATTATGATCCATTAAAACATTTACGAAATATTCTTCATCAAAATTAAACACTAGAGTGACATCATCAAGAATGGCAGAATGGAAGATAACGCACTCATATCCCCCCAGAACAACAAAAATTCTATACCAATCCACAGTTAAAAGTTTCTCTATAGGAGCCTCAGGATTCAAATAGGAGTTTTTGAAACTATTCTGGAGCCCAAGACCTAGGAGTATTGTTTTGAGAGTAGACAACACCCAGGTCGTTGTTCCTGCGTTTAGTCTGCACTCCCAAAGCAATTCACTGAGCTTGCTTCCAAGTTCAAGCCGAGAAATTGCCCAGTCCCCCACGCAACTTGGCTATAGCCTCATTTGACCTTGAGTTTGCAAGCAAAACTATCTGCCAAGGGGTCCAAAAGTAATTGTACACGCTAGTGTCTTGGTAGAAAGGCTCCTCTGCCTGCCAACATTGGCCTCAGCAATGAGGCTGAAACTTGCCCTGTGGTTCTACTCCAGCCTTCCTCAGCTAAGGTTTCAACTCAGAGCTGCTGTTTGTACAAGGACCCAGAGGGAGACTATCACGTCTCCCAGCCCCAAAGTCTAGGCATCCCAGGTCAGTTTGTCAACCTCCATTTCACAGCAGATCTCAAAGGTGACCAGCCTCGGCTCTGACACTTCTTGCTACAGTCAGGGAACTATCTCATCTATACTAAAAACTGACAGGAGACACATACCTGTCCAGGCCAATGAGATGGGCTTTTCAGTCTCAGCCCCACAGCAGATCCTGAAGGGGCCAGACTCAGCTCCATCCTCTACCACTGCAGCTGGGGAACTATCCCATTTGTGCAGAGACCTGTTGGGAGATGTCTGTCTGTCTGTCTGAGCCAATGAGATGGACTGTCCAGCCTCCAACCCACAGCTCACAGTAGATCCTGGGAAGGCTCTGTCTCAGCTCCAGCCCTTCCTGCTTCAGCAGTCAGGGAACTATCTCATATGTGCAGCATCGTCTTGGGAGACAGGTCCCGCTCTGAACCAAAAAGACCAAGCTCTTCAGCCACCATCCCACGGCAAATTCTGAGGAGGTCCCATCTCAAAACTGGCCGTTTGACTGAATCAGGGAACGCTCCTACCTCTGCAGGAAAGTGCTGTGTGATGTACAGCCCTCTGAGTAAACACAAGGCTCTCCAGCCTTTTTTCCACAGCAGATCCTGAGGAGACCCAGTCTCAGATCCAGCCTCCCGGCTATAGTTGAGAAACTATCCTGTCTATGCAGAGACCTGCTGGGAAACACATGCCCATCTGAGCGAATGTGACAGGCACACCAGCCTCCACTCCACAGCATATACGAATAGGAGCCAGTCTTGTCTATGAACTCTCCTGTTGAAGTCAGGAAACTATCCTGCTTGTGCAGGGCCCTGCTAGATGATGCATACTCATCTGAGCCAATAAAACACGTGAAGCAGCCTTCTTCCCATGAGCAGGTGCCAGTTGATATAAAGGGATAGGTAGATTTCAATACAATAATAGTATGTGACTTCAACACTGTACTTTCAGCAATGGATAGCTAATGCAGGCAGAAAATTGACAGTCATTGGAGTTAAAGTATACCCTAGAACAAACAGACCTAACAGACATTTATAGACTATTTTATTAACATTAGCACATGGAACATACTCCAGGATAGAGCAGCTGTACCCAAATGTTTTGGCACCAGGGACTGGTTCTGTGGAAGACAATTTTTCCACAGACCCAAAGGTTGGGGGTGAGATGGTTTCAGGATGATTCAAGAGCATTACATTTATTGTGTACTTTATTTCTATTATTATTACATTTTAATATATAATGAAATGATTATACAACTCACCATATTGTAGAATCAACTGGAGCTCTGAGCTTGTTTTTCTGCAACTAGATGGTCCCATCTGGGGTTGGTGGAAGGGAGTGACAGATCATCAGGCATTAGATTCTCACAAGGAGCACTCAAGCTAGATTCTTTGCATGCACATTTCACAATAGGGTTTGTGCTCCTATGAGAATCTAATACTGCCTCTGATCTGACAGGAGATGGAGCTTAGGCAGTAATGTGAGCAATGGGGAGCAGCTGTAAATACAGATAAAGATTCGCTCACTCACCCATTGCTCACCTCCTGTTGTACGACCCAGTTCCTAACAGGTCACGGACCAGTACCAGTCTCAGGTACCCGTACCAACTGCGGGTGGGGAACCCTGGGATAGACCATATGTTAGATACAAAATAAGTCTCAACAAATTAAATAAATCAAAAGTATATCAAACATTTTTTCTGACTGTATTAGAATAAAACTAGAAATTAATAACAAGAGAAACTTGTGAAACTATAGAAATACATGAAAATTAAACAACATGCTTCTGAACAACAAATGGGTCAATGAATAAATTAAGAAGTAAATTTAAAAAAATGATTGAAACAAATGAAAATGAAAACAAAACATAGTAAAACCTAGGGGATATAGAAAAAGAGGTACTAAAAAAATTATAGCATTGTATGCTACATCAAAAAAGAAAAAGAAAGCCTCCAAAGAAACAGCCTAACATTGCACCACAAGAAACTAGAAATGCGAGAACAAACCAACCCCAAAATTAATATATGGAAATAAATTATGAATATTAGAGCATAAGTAAATACAATTAAGATTAAATAAATAAGAAAGATAATAAAACAAAAGATAGTTTAAGAAAAAAAATAAAAATTGGCATACCTTTAGCTAGACTAAGAAGAAAAGACACAAAAAAATCAGAGATGAAAAAGCACACATTATAATTAACACACAAATACAAAAGATTGTTAGCTTTTATTATGAGCAACTATATGCCCACCATTTTGAAAACCGAGAAGATATGGATACATTCCTGAACACAAACAACCTATAGAGATTGAGCAATAAATAAATAGAAGACCTGAAAAGACCAATAACAAGTAACAGGATTGAAAAACTAAGAAAAATTCTTCTATCAAAGAAAAGTTTAGGATGTGATTGATTCACTAATGAATTCTAACAAACATTTAAAGAAGATCTAATGTCAGTTATATTCAAACTATTTCAAAAAATTGAAGAGGAGGAAATACTTCCCAACTCATTCTGTGAATCAATCATTACCCTGATACCAAATCAAGATAAAGGCACAACAACAATAAACAAACGCAGTTGTGAAAGAACTCTACAAAATAAACATAGTTGTGAAAGTACTCAACAAAACACTAGCAAACCAAATTCAACAATGCATTCAAAAGTTCACTCACTGTGATCAAGTGGGATCCGTCTAAGGGATGCAAGGATGCTTCAACATATGCAAATCAATGAACATAATATGTCACATTCACAGAGTTAAAAACAAAAACCATATAATTACTTCAATAGATGCTAAACTAGCATTTGATAAAAATCAACGTTTCTTTAAGATAAAAACCTTCAACGAACTTAGCGTAGAAATGGTGTACCTCAACATGATATAGGCCATATATGACAAGCTCACAGCAAATATTCTACTGAGTGGAAAATACTGAAAGCTTTTCCACTAAGATCTGGAGTGAGACATACATGTCCAATTTCACAGCTTTTTTTCAACATAGTGTTGAAATTTCTGGCCAGACAAATTAGGCAATAGAAAACATTTAAGAACATCCAAATTCAAAGGGAACGATTCAAATTATCTTTACAGATAACTTCATCTTATATTTTAAAGAAACTAAAGACTCCACCAGAAACTTATAATAAATGAGCTTCATAACATTGCAGAGTACAAAATTAACATATGAAATTCAGTAGCATTTTTATACACTAACAGTCATCAATCTGAAGAATAAATGAAAAAATCAATTTAATTTATAATAGCTACAAAAAATACCTAGAAATAAATTTAACCAAAGAAATAAATGATCTGTATATAAAAAATTGTAAAACACTGATGAAAAAAATCTAAGAGGACAAAAAAAGAAAAGATATTGCATTCTCATGGATTGGAAAAATTAATATTGTTTGAACACTGATACTACCCAAAGATCTCTACAGATTCAATGCAATAACTATTAAAATACGAATGAAACTCTTCACAGAAATAGAAAAAATATCCTAAAATGTATCTAAAGTCAGAAAACACCCTAATAGCTAAGCAATCCTGAGCAAAACCAGCAAAGTTAGGGGCATCACACTATCTGATTTCAAATTATACTACAAAGTTATAGTAACTAAAACAGCATGGTACTGGCTTCAAAACAGATAATATACTAATAAAACAGGATGGAGAACCCCAAAAAAGATCTACATACTTCCAGTCAACCCATTTTCAACAAAGTCACCAAGAACATACATTGGAGAAAAAGCAGTCTCTTTAATGGTACTGGTAACACTGGATATCTATATGCAGAAGACTGAAATCAGACCTCCCTACTTGTCATCATACACAAAAATCAACTCAAAATGGAGTAAAGGCTTAAATGTAGGACCCAAGATTATGAAACTACTAGAAAATAAAAACATTGGAAAATGCTATAAGACATTGGTCTACATTTTTTTATTTGTTTGTTTGTTTTCGTTTTTGTTTTTGTTTTTTGATAAGACCTCAGAACCACAGGCAACAAAAGAAAGAAATAGATGGGATAATATTAATCTAAAACCTTCTGTATAGCAAAGAAAATAATCAAGGAAGTGAAGAGACGAAACACAGACAAGGAGACAGGCAACAAAAGGAAAAATAGATGGGATAATATTAATCTAAAACCTTCTGTACAGCAAAGAAAATAATCAACAAAGTGAAGAGACGAACCACAGACAAGGAGAAAGTATTTGCAAACTATTCATCTAGCAAGGGATTCATAAACAAAAATTCAAAAGCAAAGCAACAAATAATTATGACTCTGACAACAAATATGAGAATTGTTCAGTGTCATGGATTATGTTGTTCCACTTTCTTCCCTGCTAGTTAGGATATTCTTCCAAATCACAATACTGTCATTTTGAAGATGATGTAGCAATAAATCAAGATGATACTTTTCTAGACGTAATTGTACCTTTTGCTAATACCAACCTGAAAGTTAAGAAATCATGAATGGTGACTCAGAACAGCCCTATTATTAACATATTTCATTATTACATGGTTTGGAAATATTGTGAGTGAAATTGTATCCTGTTTCACAGTGAGTTTAAGTGACTTAACAGCACAATGCCAGGTGGCTACCTAAAGGAAGATATATAAGAGTGATTCGCGGGAGTGCCACAGTGTTTAGTGGTATCTGCAAAACCAAGGGGCATTTTTCTCATTGGACTCAATCATGGAGAAAAAAATGGTTTTTTTTCTTCTAAAAAACAGAGACAGATACAATCTTTCTAGCTATTTAGCACAGGAAACATGAGACAAAGCTGAAGCAGTACACTGACATGGCAAAGTCATCTTTGGGATAAAAAAAGTGGCTGGCATTTTTTTATGTTTAAAAGTAGCATTGCCTATTAAAATGAATATATATAGACTCACATATATATATAAAGGCACAGGAATACAGGTTATGAAAATAGTTAAATATCAACAGGATAATAATGTTCTGTTTTAATAGTATATTAATAAATTTTAGCCACCATTTGCATGCCTGAAAAAATTGCCAGCTAATACCTTATTCACTTTCATTATTCAAAAAAATCATTTTGGACAATTATTTAACCAGTTCAACATTCAAGTCCATAAAGAGATTATGATGTCTGGTATAAGGAAAGTTTTC
This sequence comes from Homo sapiens, assembly GCF_000001405.40. NCBI lineage: Eukaryota > Metazoa > Chordata > Mammalia > Primates > Hominidae > Homo > Homo sapiens. The sequence goes on along the minus strand of NC_000003.12, from coordinate 83,808,526 downwards.
TGTCCTGTTGGCATTGTATGTGGGGCTGCTGGGACAATGGTCCTGTTTTGCTCCTGTCTCTGTTGTGGAGACGTTGAATTCTTAAAAACATATGCTCCACCTTATACCTGCTGTATAGATATGGAAATGCATGTTACCTCTGTTATCCATGTGTAAATAATAATGCTTCTTTTCCTGATTTAATAGAATATTTTTCTACAATAAAGTATTTCTGAGTAGATACGTAATAAATGTGTATACGTGTGTATGCACTCTAAATGTGATTTCATATCTACACACGTAAAAGTCTATGTATAGACATTCATAAGTCAAGGAAGAACTCTGTCAATTCTCTTGTCTTGATTTTGTTAGGTTTATTATTGAGTGCCACCACAAGTAGTATTAAATTAATCATTCAGGTACTTTCTTACACTAATACACTGCATCGTGTTATAAAAAGCATTTCTTTTCATGTCTCACTTTTATCTACAATAAAATAGAGATGATTTCAAGTGGGTCTTTTTTCAGGAAAATCTTCATAACAGTAGCAAATGCTTTAATACACTAAATGCTCAACAATATTAATCTTGCAATTATTGAACACTTGTTTAGAGGTAATGAGCTAAAGTTTTGGCAGAATTTGTGACCATAAAAGCCTAATTTTTGAACATGTTATCTACCTCACCATGGAAACATAGATCGAAAAGCTTGATCGCTCTAAATCCCTGTTAGCAGGTCATCCAGCAACATCTCCCTTTGGCTGGCAATTTATGTGGGATTCAGTTGTATGTCCTGAATGCTCTGAGTCCTCATAATCATATTATGTCTGCTCTTGCTCATTCTGGATCTGGCAGCTTCAGACGTGGTGAATTGATTTTTAGTTGGCTGTTCCCTGTTTTATTTCTGGAAGAAGAATTAGTTACATAGATCTTGATAATAGAAAATAGACCTTCCCAAGTTTTAAGGTCAGGCTTTATACTTTCAATTCTTTATTGGGAAATCTCATACAAGGAGTTTTTTTTTAACAAATTTTTTATCTTTAAAATCTTATGTTCCAAATTTATATTAATCATTAACTTTGCTTTGAAGATTTGAGGGCTATTTGAAAGTCTTTAAAATAAAATAGTAACAGAGCATTATACTCAATTGATATTTTAAAACAGCAAATTTGTGAATAAATTATCTATTTTATGAGTTTTAAAAATAGATTACTTGTCACAGCTTTCCAAAATCTACATATTGGATATGAGGATAAGCAAAATTGAAAGTAAACAATATGAAGGTATAGTACTTTCCTTTTTCTTATATATCTATCTTTATTTCTCTCAGCCTCAACAAGACCCAGGTTTAGAGAGCCTCTTCTTCCCACCCACAGGGCCATTACCAGAAGATATTAAGATGTTAGCAAAGGAGAACTAATCCTGGAGTCAAAGAAAGGCAAATATCTTCTCAGCCTCATGGTACCACTGCTGCTCCTTGAAATCAAGAAGACAATGAAATCAAGAAGACATATACATATGTGCATATATTAGAATATAATAAATTAGGTTATATAATATTGGTCTTACCCAAAAGTTTAGAAACACTGAAGAGAGTAGTAGATTCAAGCTTGTGGAACCAACCAATATTTTTCAGTGGAGATGCTATCTGAGCTGCTGCTATGTGAAATAGTCTTGATAGTCAGGAATTGCAAGTAAATAGAACTAAAATTTAGCCAGGGGTAAGACGTAAATGTTCTTTATAATTTTCACTGAAGACATTGGATTCTATTTTATATTCTGCAGACAGAAAACAAGAGTACTTAAAACTGGAAATGGCCTCGTCAATTTTGGTCTCTAGTATCAGTAGTGCAGCGGATGAACAGGAGGTAAAAATGGTCAGGGAGATCATTTTAAAGTTCCTGCAATGATCTAGGTCAGAGATTTAACAAGAGTGTGCCTAATTTTATGTTAATAAATATTTAGCAAGTGTTTCCTATTTTTATGACAGTAGGGTTTAATTCATCTATGAAGATTTCTCCAGTCTCTTTACCCATCTTGAACTTACCAATTTTCAATACTAATATAAATTCCTATAATCAGCACCATGCCAAGTACAAATGTTCTTTTTGTATGCTCTTTGATCTTTATAACGTGATCATAAATGTATCACATAGACCACATGACAGATTGGCAGATGCATAGAATTATTCAATAATAAACACATATAGACTACTTAAAATTAAGTTTAAACTTTATCACCAAAGTATAGCTTTAGTGATTTTATTTTGCATTTAATAAGAACTCTGGTAATGCTACAACTAAAAGGAAAGTATGTTCAAAAGCAAAGGGTATATTAAAAGGCCATATATTTTGTGCTAAAAACTCTCAATAAATTAGGTATTGATGGGACGTATTTCAAAATAATAAGAGCTATCTATGACAAACCCACAGCCAATATCATACTGAATGGGCAAAACCTGGAAGCATTCCCTTTGAAAACCGGCACAAGACAGGGATGCCCTCTCTCACCGCTCCTATTCAACATAGTGTTGGAAGTTCTGGCCAGGGCAATCAGGCAGGAGAAGGAAATAAAGGGTATTCAATTAGGAAAAGAGGAAGTCAAATTGTCCCTGTTTGCAGACGACATGATTGTTTATCTAGAAAACCCCATCGTCTCAGCCCAAAATCTCCTTAAGCTGATAAGCAACTTCAGCAAAGTCTCAGGATACAAAATCAATGTACAAAAATCACAAGCATTCTTATACACCAACAACAGACAAACAGAGAGCCAAATCATGGGTGAACTCCCATTCACAATTGCTTCAAAGAGAATAAAATACCTAGGAATCCAACTTACAAGGGATGTGAAGGACCTCTTCAAGGAGAACTACAAACCACTGCTCAAGGAAATAAAAGAGGAGACAAACAAATGGAAGAACATTCCATGCTCATGGGTAGGAAGAATCAATATCGTGAAAATGGCCATACTGCCCAAGGTAATTTACAGATTCAATGCCATCCCCATCAAGCTACCAATGACTTTCTTCACAGAATTGGAAAAAACTACTTTAAAGTTCATATGGAACCAAAAAAGAGCCCGCATTGCCAAGTCAATCCTAAGCCAAAAGAACAAAGCTGGAGGCATCACACTACCTGACTTCAAACTATACTACAAGGCTACAGTAACCAAAACAGCATGGTACTGGTACCAAAACAGAGATATAGATCAATGGAACAGAACAGAGCCCTCAGAAATAATGCCGCATATCTACAACTATCTGATCTTTGACAAACCTGAGAAAAACAAGCAATGGGGAAAGGATTCCCTATTTAATAAATGGTGCTGGGAAAACTGGCTAGCCATATGTAGAAAGCTGAAACTGGATCCCTTCCTTACACCTTATACAAAAATCAATTCAAGATGGATTAAAGATTTAAACGTTAAACCTAAAACCATAAAAACCCTAGAAGAAAACCTAGGCATTACCATTCAGGACATAGGCGTGGGCAAGGACTTCATGTCCAAAACACCAAAAGCAATGGCAACAAAAGACAAAATTGACAAATGGGATCTAATTAAACTAAAGAGCTTCTGCACAGCAAAAGAAACTACCATCAGAGTGAAGAGGCAACCTACAACATGGGAGAAAATTTTTGCAACCTACTCATCTGACAAAGGGCTAATATCCAGAATCTACAATGAACTCAAACAAATTTACAAGAAAAAAACAAACAACCCCATCAAAAAGTGGGCGAAGGACATGAACAGACACTTCTCAAAAGAAGACATTTATGCAGCCAAAAAACACATGAAGAAATGCTCATCATCACTGGCCATCAGAGAAATGCAAATCAAAACCACTATGAGATATCATCTCACACCATTTAGAATGGCAATCATTAAAAAGTCAGGAAACAACAGGTGCTGGAGAGGATGCGGAGAAATAGGAACACTTTTACCCTGTTGGTGGGACTGTAAACTAGTTCAACCATTGTGGAAGTCAGTGTGGCGATTCCTCAGGGATCTAGAACTAGAAATACCATTTGACCCAGCCATCCCATTACTGGGTATATACCCAAATGAGTATAAATCATGCTGCTATAAAGACACATGCACACGTATGTTTATTGTGGCACTATTCACAATAGCAAAGACTTGGAACCAACCCAAATGTCCAACAATGATAGACTGGATTAAGAAAATGTGGCACATATACACCATGGAATACTATGCAGCCATAAAAAATGATGAGTTCATATCCTTTGTAGGGACATGGATGAAATTGGAAACCATCATTCTCAGTAAACTATCGCAAGAACAAAAAACCAAACACCGCATATTCTCACTCATAGGTGGGAATTGAACAATGAGATCACATGGACACAGGAAGGGGAATATCACACTCTGGGGACTGTGGTGGGGTCGGGGGAGGGGGGAGGGATGGTATTGGGAGATATACCTAATGCTAGATGACACATTAGTGGGTGCAGCGCACCAGCATGGCACATGTATACATATGTAACTAACCTGCACAATGTGCACATGTACCCTAAAACTTAGAGTATAATAAAAAAAAAAAAAAAAAAAAAAAAGGCCATATAATCTATTTTCTAATAAGATTTTTTGTTTTGAACAAAAATGTATTCTACCAGGTGAGTTAATATTTACAATATTATCCAACATTATCACCTCTGACACTATATAAATAAGCTCAGAAAACTATACATTCTTAATAATAGATCTAGTCTTTGCAAATTTATGAATAAGAGGCTTCACAAGTTTATTTTAGTGTTCTAACTTTTTTGTATATATCTTCTCCTATCCTGGGGGTGTTGGGGGAAGTAAATAATGAAACTACTCTACCTCATAATATAACTATTATTTGAATCTGTTACCTAATTTAAACTTGAACGAATTTCATTTACAATGATGAGAATTTTATTTGAGCAATAAGGAGAAAACACACCTCTCAATCAAACTGAGAATAATTAGAATCATAGAGCCTGAAAGGGGGGGAAGAAGAACAACAGAGCTAGCCTGAACCAAAAAATCCCATTACTTACCTATTTTGTCTGGAAATTAAGAATTTGTGATTTGTATTTGTCATTAGGAGTAATATCAAGAGATTAGCAAGAAATATATTTTTAAACTGTGATTCATTACCATTGATTTTGAGAGGCTTTAAAGAAGCTTCTACAGGCATAATTTTTTTATTATGCTTCACTTTATTGTGCTTTGCAGACATTGCATTTTTCAACAATATTGAAATTAAGCCGATTAATAACCCTAAAATGGCCCCTAGCCTTCCAGTGAAAGGAAGAGTTACATGTCTCTAATTTTAAATAAAAACCTAGAGATGATTAAGGTTAGTGAGAAAGGCATGTCTAAAGCCAGCACAGGCTGAAAGCTAGGCCTCTTGTGCCAATCGGTTAGCCAAGTTGTGAATGCAAAGGAAAAGTTACTGAAGGAAGTTAAAAGTGTTTCTCAGTGAACACATGAGTGATATGAATATAAAACAGGTTTTTGCTCTCATGGAGAAAGTTTTGTTGGTCTGGATAGAAGATCAAATCAGTCACAACATTCCCTTAATCCAAAGCCAAATCTGGAGCAAGGCCCTAACTCTCTTCAGTTCTTTGGAGGCTGAGATTGGTGAGAAAGCTGCAGAAGAACAGCTGGCAGCTAACAGAGATCAGTTCATGAGGTTTAAGGAAAGAGGCCAACTCCATAACATAAATGTACAAGGTGACGCAGCAAGTGTTGATGTAGAAGCTACAGCAAGTAGTTATTTAGAAAATCTATCTAATTTCAATGATGAACGTAGCTATCCGAAACAACAGATTTTTAATGCAGAAGAAACAGCCTTCTGTTGGAAGAAGATGTCATCCAGGACTTTCACAGATGCAGAGGAGAAGACAGTACCTGGCTTCAAAACTTTGCAAGACAGGCTGCCTTTCTTGTCAGGGACGAATGCAGTTGATGGCATTACATTGAAGGTAAGGTGCATTTACCATTTCAAAAATGCTAGGGCCCTTAAGAATTATACTAAATCTACTCTGCCTGTGCTCCTTAAATAGAACAAAGCCTGGATTACACCACCTCTGTTTACAGCATGGTTTACTAAATATTTTAAGCACACCGTTGAGACCTCCTGCTTAGTTAAAAAAAAAGATTATTTTCAAAATATTACTGCTTATTGAAAATGTACCTGGTCATCATAAGAGCACCAATGGAAATGTACAAGATTAATGTTTTCATGCCTACCTACTTACACAACATCCATTCTGCAGCCCATGGATCAAGGAGTAAATTTAACTTTAAAGTCTTACTTAAGAAATACATTTTATAAGGCTACAGCTGTCATAGATAGCGATTCCATTGGTGGATCTGAATAAAGCAAATTGAAAACCTTCTGGAAAGTATTCATTATTCTATATGCCATTAAGAATATACACAATTCAGCTGGGTGCAGTGGTTCATGCCTGTAATCCCAGTACTTTGGGAGGTTGAGGTGGGTGGATCACCTGAGGTCAGGAGTTCGACACCAGCCTGGTCAACATGGTGAAACCGCCTCTCTATTAAAAGTACAAAAATTAGCTGGGTGTGGTGGTAGACATCTGTAGTCCCAGCTACTCGGGAGGCTGAGGCAAGAGAATCGCTTGAACCCAGGAAGCAGAGGTTGCAGTGAGCCAAGATTGTGCCACTGCACTCCAACCTAGGCGACAGAGTGAGACTCCACCAAAAAAAAAAAAAAAAAAAAAAAAAAGAATATACACAATTCATGGGAGGAGGTTAAAATATCAACATTAACAGGAGAAGAAGTTGATTTGATTGAACCCTCATGGATGATTTTGAGGAATTTAAGAGTTTGGTGAAGGAACTATAGATATGTTAGAAATAGTGGGAGAATTAGAATTAAAAGTGGAACCTAACGATGAGACTGAGTTGCTGCAATCTTATGCTAAAATTGAACGGATGAGGAGTTGTTTCTGATGGATGAACAAAAGAAAGTGGCTTTTTGCGATGGAATCTATTCCTGGTAAAGATATTTTGAACATTGTTGAAATGACAACAAAGGATTTAAAATATTACATAAATTTAGTTGATAAGACAATGGCAGATTTTGAGAGGACTGATCTCAATTTTGAAAGAAGCTCTTCAGTGTGTAAGAAGCCATCAAACAGCATTGCATTGCTACAAAAAAAACTTTCATGAACGCGAGAGTCAATTGACATGGCCAAGTTCATCGTTGTGTTATTTTAAGAAACCGTCAAAGCCACCCTAACCTTCAGCAACTACCACACTGATCAGTCAGCAGCCATCAACATTGAGGAAAGACCCTTCACCAGCAAACAGATTATGACTCACTAGAGGCTTAGATGATTGTTAATATTTCTTAGCAATACATTATTTTTAAAATTAAGATATATACTTTTTTATTTTTGACATAAAGCTACTTAGTGCATTCTTAGTAGACTACAGTATAGCATAAGCATAACTTTTATATGCACTGAGAAACTGAAAAATTAGTGTGATGTGCTTTATTGCAATACTTACTTTATTGCAGTGATCTGGAATCAAATCCACAATGTCTTCAATGTATGCCTGTATTTATTTAAAGGGTGGCTCAAAGCACCAAATATTTGCCTAGGCAAGTCTACATTAGCCTCCACATATGAGTTCAGAAAGGAAAAGCTGCACATTGCATCAAACTGAGAAACACTGAGATATCCATACAGGACCTAGTAACTGACAATTAAAAATGAGTTGAAAACAAATAAGAAATTAGAACCTCACGCTTGCCCCGATAAAGTGAATGAGAACTCTTGACAATATTTTTTATGGTTTTCTAAAAGTACATGATACCTACTGTGTATATTGGTGTATATTTTCCTAGGTCAAATTTTATTTGATGCACTATAAGTAAATCAAATATCTAAGATGAGATCAACATAATGCAAATTTTCTCTTGCAATGTTCCCCTAAATGTAAGACTTAGGAAATTTTAACATGGTTATGTGTGGGACCAGGGAAAGATGTCAGTTACTAACCACAATCACACTTCATAACATAGCTAAGTGCTTGCTGAAGAGTAGAGAATCTCCAGAGTTAGCAAAACTCACATAATAATAACAATTGGATTATAAATTGTTATATAAACTGTTTTATATAACAATGTCCCTGTAGTTCAGTATTTTTATATTCTTAAAGATGCATGAATCCTCAATGTGTTCTCTTAGTAGATTTCTTCAATAATTTATTTATCGAATCATTTAATTTCAGTTTATAGGCTTTTGCATTCAAGATGGGTATTAAGATTCTCTTCTCACATTTAAAAAACTACTAGGCTTTTGAGTGTTACTGAATCAACAACAGTGTAGAAATATGGCATTTTAGAACAGTTTTAGCTTGAACACTTCATACAGTGAGAATAAGTGGTATTTTCACATTTATGACTTGTGATTTACCACATACGCTGACCACCCTACAAAATAGACTGCCTAGTAGGTGGAAAACTCTATATGGAACCTGCTTCTGATTTGGCATATATATTTTAAATAGCTAACAGTTAAAACATATGCTTATCTATTCTTACCTAGAAGGAAAATAATTCATTTTTCACTTGTTTGTCTTATTTAAATACCTTTTATTTTCATAGAATTTTAGATAAAATAAAAATTTAAGATACAATACTGCATTTCAAATGACTTTATTGGCCAACATATCTTTCCAACTAAAAAGTAGTCTAGCAAAGAAAGGATATAGGACTGTGTCAGCAGAACACATCTAAAACTCTTGACAATCTGATTTATATGAGATTTTTTATTTTTAATAGATATATTATTAATTCAATGGGAAAATTTTCATGAGCAAATTAGAAGTATAATTTGCAGGAAAGCAAAAAGGACAAAAAATGAATTAAGAAAAAATGTAAAGCAAAGAAAGGAGTGAAAAGCAAGCTATAAACCCAGAATTATATAATTCTAGTTCCTTCCATATAAGCTATAGAAGAAAAACAAGTTTCGCAATAGTAACTGTTTTTCTAAACAGATATTTGGAAATTGAATGCCTGGATTTTTAAAATAATTATTCCATGTAATTAAAATTGCATTTATCATTATGTGAATACCTGCCTTAGATTGAAAGAGTGGGTTCAAGTTTAAGATAAAAATGCAACACAGAGTCCTTTAGTTAAGTCATCAAAGTGGCATTGAAATATTTCTTCCATTGCAAAGGCTTATTCTTAAATGCTTGTTACTCTTGTGTAAAAATGTAGCCTACATTCCATTATACCAAATGAGTGAGGTTGAGATATCACTGATCAGCTGACAGGGTCTGCTTTGATCCTAGCTTTTGTGAGTTCCACAGGGGCAGGAATTTGGAGGATGGCATAGGGTGACCACAGAGTAGAAATCTAGAATGCCGTGTGCAAGGACTCCAGCATACTTTATTTCAGGTAACCTGACAGTACTATTCCAGTGAACATTTTTTGACAGGCCTGTTGTAAAGAATGATGATTTCATTTGATCAGCTCTGTATGGTGTAGGTGGTGTAGCCTTGAGGCAGTGCAGCTTGGTAAACATGTATTATTACCTGGAAATGTTTCTGTACTTTTAAGCTAAAACTAACAATGTTTAACGTGGAAACGTTTTCCTAACCTGTACTCAAAAGCAAATGAAATATTATCACTGAGATGAGTTTGATCTTGGAGTATTCAGAAGACATGCTGCTACTTAATGGGTCATTTTATTTTTTAGAATAGTTTATGCCAGATGTGAAGTTAGCAAGAACTGCAAATACATCTAGTTGGGTGACAACTACCTGTTGATAGCCTTCATTTTATAGTAAGTAATTAAATTTAATAATCCAGAAATTAGATTATTTCTAATCAATATAGCTATAGTGATAGATCAGGAATATCTGTACACATAAACATTTTTCTAAATTAAATATACCTCCAGTAAAATAAACCTATATATCACATTGAAACTTTCATAAAATAAACATTCAACATAGGCTGTTTGTCAATATCTATAATAAAGCCAGTTCATTTTTAAATTGAAGTACATTTGACTCCATGACTTCTATGAAACCTTTATATGAAAGTCTAAATATTCTTGTTATTATATATATAAAATGTATATATGTGTGTGTATTTGTATACATGTCTATATACATATATATACATATATAAACAAATATATATATTTCTATTTCAAAGATATTTATTTCAAAGGTTGTATATATGTATATGTATACATACATATACAAATACATATATCATGTATGTATACACATATAAACACAAATACATCCACATATATATGTATATATATATTTCAAAGATTTTACCACAAAGGAGACTGGGGTCTCTATTTTGAAAGAAGATACACAAACCAATCTCTGTGGGTCTAAAGGAACAAAATAAACAGTAATTCAAGATTAAAATATTTGCATCTTCCATGCAAAGTCCCTTTAATTGACAAGTGGATTATTCATCTTGTTGACAATATTAATACTTTGTGGAATTTTTGTTTATATTCTCCCTTTGTCTAAAAACATGAAATTTTTATTCCCTATATTTGCTTCAAAGACAATGTTGAAATGTATTTCTATATGTGTCTCTGATGCTAATGTAGATCACTGTCCACTGAAAGGATATTTTCATGAACTGTTGGTGGCAGGCAATATTATTATCTGTGTCTTCCTGTTTCTACCTCCATTTCATACAAATCCTGAGTAAATCATGTATTTTCCAGACATCAGAACTGTGGAAAGTGAATTAGAAAAGGCAACATCAGCAGTAGCAAAATGAGCCCAAGTCAATCTTCTAGTACGTGTACTTGCTAGAAAAGCAAACCTTACTTTGACTTTCATTTTATGTAGTCATGCTCCCTGTTGAAATATAACTAAGCAAGAAACAGCAATACAAAGTGGTCTCTGAAATGAATACAGAAAGTTTACTGAGAAGTTTATATTTCTTCTAGGCACAGGATGCCATAGTAAGAGTTAAGTTGATACAATTCTTACAATTGATCCTGGGCTGAGATCAATATATCAAGAGTTTTTTGCCTTTAGTCATCAATGATGTTTCAATTTTGACAGGTTTTCTGTTATGGTAAGGAGGAAGAGAGCATCCACCAATCTGAGGGACCGAGACACTTAATAATTTTTCTTTCACCATTTTTGAGGTGGTCATGTATCTTTATATAAAACCAACTTTTGGCCAATGATGTTAACCTACTCAGACTTTAGTTGTTCCACATATAAAATGAGAATGATCAAATATTTTAACTTTTCCCATTAAAGATTATCCCAAATATTCTTTGATGAGTTGACAGAATTCCATGGCACTGTGCCTCAGAATATCACTGCTTCTTATGTTTACCTGCAGGAGTAATCGCTAGTTATAGCTAAAATGAGCTCAGAAGCTAAAAAATACATTTAGAAAAACATCTACTCATTTATTTGGGAATGAAATTTTTCATAGAAAGACCTATAGGCGAAAAAGCCTCTCTTACCCCATTTAAATAGATTTCAGTGTCTTGAAAACAACAATAAAATGTTCTAGGTCCCGTTGAATGATTTACAAACCTAGGGCTACAAAATACCCTATGATAAGATGTCTTTTCATCATCTAATATTGTTGTGTATGTCATACATGAGTAGTAGTCTCCAAGGAAGAATATGTGCAAACTGAGGATATTGAATAAACCTTACCTATTTCTACCTCTGTGTGTTTCATAGTATCCCAAGTACTGCAATTAAAAAAATACATGAAAAAGTTATTTAATGAATAATCATAGTTATGGGACCATGGTCTCAAAAGCTTTCTCCTGACTGAAATATAACATGACAAAAAATTGAAAGACCATTGTACTAAAGATTATTTATTTCAATGCTAGTATGCTTATCTATTTACATTTTAGTTTATTCTTAACTTGTGGTCATGCTAGTTTTTTTTAATTCTATAACGTTCTTAGAGAAATAGTAGATGTCTTTAAAAATGAATGACATTAAAATCCACATTTTATTATCAAATAAAATCCAAATGTGTTATTAAGACTAATATCTGAATGTAATTCCCCGATGTAATTCAATGAATTTTCTCTTTTGAAGTTTTTTTTCAATGACATTTGAATCTGTGAAACCACACCTTCACACACACCAGGCTTTATCGATGATTTCTTCCATGGTGAAATACTTACTACTCTTTTTTGTTGTTTGTTTTGATTTGTTTTTTGTAGTTGAAACAAGCATAAACTATAAGATTTAAGTAAATGTTACAAAATGCTCACAAACTCAAACATTTTAAGGTTCTTCATTTGAAAAACAAGTTAAGGAAAGTCATGAACCTTTGACATTTGATTCAGATTTGAAGAGAACGATTTACTCTTTGAAATGTTCCTAACTCAATTTCAGTCAATGTAAAATATTCTTTATACTGGCAACTCATATGATGTTATCAACGGGCAATATTTGCATTAGGGCAATTATTGCAAAATAATTTTTGATATTTTTATTCTTTAAAAGAATAAAAGGCACCACAGTGTAATAGGAAGAGTGCATGACAATAAATGGAAACATGCTTATTTTACTGTTTATTTCTTGACTTGGTGATTGTGTTACTTTGGGTACATCACTCAAATTTAATAAATCTCTATTGTGGTTCCTAACAAACGCAAAATGTATTATTTCCTGTACAGGTTTTTAGGTGACAGTGATTTGTAAATCATAGAACAACAAATGTATTGCTATTTCCACTACTCAGCCACTTGATCTCATTAAATCACTCTCAGAGAAACCTTTCAGATTACTTGAAAATGAGAACAGTAATAAAAACATATCATTTTTTTAAAATGACATTATATTTGTGAAAAGACCCAAAATATCTCGGCAAAATGGATACTCTATGGCTAACAGAGACACTTCAAATTTTAAAACAGAACCCGGCAGCCACAGTGAGGTGAGAAAGGGGTCACACACTGTGTTCTTGGAAGAAAACACAGCCCTTGACAAATATTCTGCTTGTACAATCCTGAGCAGGAGTAGCCCTGGTGACCAAGGGCTAAAAATTCCCAATCACCTGGAAATCTTTAATCAAAAAGGGTTTGTGGTTCCAGACTTGAAAATTACCCAATCAGGACTCTGCTTCCCTGACCAATCAGGACTCAGCTGTAACAAGTTTGAATCCAACATTTCTGAAAACAAACCTGATGGGAAACTAGAGCAGGAGCTTTCTCTATTGAAAAAATCAAACCCTCCGTTTGTTCTCTGCAGTGCACTTTTGCTTGCACCTAAGGCTGAGTCTCCCCAATCTATAGATTGTTTCTCTGAAAATAAAAGCTTGCCTTTTGCATCTGCAGATCTCATGTTATGATAACTTCTTGAATTTGTGAATTTTGTGAATCATGTTCTTTAATTTTCTATATCTAAATGCATCAAGTGTGCAGTCTGTCTCCTTCCGAGTTATTCTGAAGAGTAGACAAAATTTTTTGTGTCTGTTACAAAAATTTTAGGACACCTACCTTATGTCAATGTCACATACATATACTCTCTGTAAGTGGCAAATGAGTACTTTGCATTTTTGAAAATGTCTCTTGAGATAGTGCCTAAAGTAGACAATAGACAAGAATGAATTAAAGTACTGGAAGGAACTGCAATAGTCTTTTCTTGAAGGAGGTTCTGGTTGGTTTTGGAGATGGGCAAAGCCCATAAACTCATCAATGGATATGTATTGTGTAATTAGTAAGAATGGTTAAGCAATTTATCAAGGTCAGTTTTTAGTCACTGATTAACACTAAAGCTTTTCCAAATGCTTGAAGTACCATTTATAGCTTCAAAAGTGTGTGTTGACAGTCTTTTACTTGAACATTGTGTAGCTAAATCTCTGCATTTCTAAAAACCCAATTGGGAAGTGAACTCAGTGAGGATGAGTCTTAATGTTCCACACTTAGAGGAATCTTATCAAATATTTGTAGCTCACTAAATATAGTTGAGAAGAACAGAGTATTTTGTTTCTAATTTATTAAAACAGCAATGGTTTAGTAAGAACAGAGAAAGAAGAAGGGAAGCAGCAATCACCAATTACCTTTTTTTGAAGAGTTGTAGATGAAGAGAGAGAAAAAATAGTCATAGAAGAGGAGATAAACTGGGGTAATGAGAGTTTTGGGGCACAGAGCCAGGCGATAAAGGTATTTAGAAGTACTCTCAAGAAAACTATTTATTTCTAGATGGGCCCTGCTTATATTTGATATTAATGTCCAATGTGTAATATGTTATAGTCATACTCATTTTTTGCACTTACCTTTGCTCATATATTCTAACATTTCCACCAGTCCCAAAAGGCTAATTGTATCTCCCTTTCTCCAAGTCTTGCTTCTAGCTCAATTATTATATTGTTTCTCTCTTCAGTAACCTCCTTTTTAATCATAAGAAGCCCAATTTACAATGTGAAATATTATGAAAGCAAGTACTATATAAATGAATTAGATCAGGGTCAGCAAACATGCATGCCACCTCTCCCGTGTCTGGAGTACCTGGCAGGCATTGCTAATGGATCTATGGAATACATGGCAGGCATTGCTAATTGACCTATATACTTTTTTGTGTCTGTTAATCACTGAAGGAATTTAAACAAAGACATTTGGTGAGCTGGTCCCAGCCAACAAAGCACACAAAGATCAATCTCTTGCCATTCTTGTGATAGCAGTCATGTTTAAGTTAAAGTCATATAGCTAACAGGCCACCTCACAAAAAAAGCACAGCATTTTATATTTTAAAAGACTTCACTTTGAATGCTAGACAGTTATCTTCAAGGCATATCACTTCATTCACAGTGAGACAATATGCATTTATTCATTTCTCACAGTTTCATCAAGTTTATTAATGGCGCTGTGCTAGATACTTTGAGGGACACAAAGTATGAAATATATAAGTGTGAAAACTACTTTTTTTCTTTAATGACTCATTGATTTAGTTAATGTGTGAGTAAACAGTGTAGACTTCATGTGTATCATATATTTTGTTCATAATTTAAAACATATCTATCATTAATTCACAAAGACAGATACACACACACACAGACGTACTTACGTGTAATTAGGCAGCTGAGAAAAAATATTCCATCTATGTTGAAAACACTAAGATTTTCAGCCATGTTTTTCCTAATAAGTGACTAAACCCAGTCCATGTATTACACCATGTGATGAAGAATGAACAAAATAGACACATAATTTTGTGATTGCTTCATGCTCTGTAACTCTTCACAAGGCTATACATGTATTTCTCTCTTGCTCCTCTTTTCTCTATTCCATGCTTCCTTTGCCCTCGGCCAGAACTCATTTGGATTGTTGTACTTAACTGGAAGTTAAATTAAATTGAACCATCACTCCTAATACTTGAGCTTACTTTGTCCACACAGCATAACGTTGATAAGAGAGAAAGAACCTCAGAAATAACTATATATCATATCCCAAATTCCAAAAGTTGGGTTGATTTGTTATGATGCAGAGATGACATCTGGATGCATACTTTAAAACACTATCCATGAAAGTACCACTGAGGACACGTTTTCAGGGATTTCTTTTTTCTCCTACCCTCTGGCCAGACGTCTCAGACCCTACAAAAATAGTAAAGGTAATAATGTAGCAATTACATATGGTCAATGAATATTGAACAAGTCTCCAGTTTCTAAATTTTAGCTTTAAGACTATGTATCCATTAGCCCCTCACTTGAATACAATACTGTACAATTTTATATGTGTATTTGTTCACGACAACTCTAAATTCCATCTCTAACCATCTCCGAGTTTGTATTTATTCATTCCTAATTTGAACCTTCTAACTTACTTTTTTCTTTTATATATTTTTCATAGGTAGTTTTTCTTTCTGTTCACTTTATCGTCATTACATTTTAGCATTACATCAAAGAAAGTTTCAATAATTTATCAGTTTGTCATTCTATCCACTTTCTCCCTCTTTCCCCCCGCCATTTCGACAGAGAAACATCCCAACTTTACCTAATAACTAAAAATATTTTTAAAAAATATTTTAAAAAAATATTTTTTCCCACCATCCCAACAAAAAGATTCCCATTACTAAGAACCTGTAATATATCCTCACTCCGTGTCCCTTCTTTTCCTTTGTGGTACGAATACTTCACTTTGAAACCATTTATTTATTCTTTGAATCATCCATCATAATTATTCTTATGCCTTGAACTCTCTGTTCTGTCCTGGCTGCATCATTTAGAATGTCACACCTCCTTCTCTACATAGTGCATTTCAACGCATGTTGTCCCCACAAGATGTAGAGCTGTGTGTCATTGGCCAGGAATTTCCAGAAGGTGTGCAGGATAAATGAATTTCATACTACATATCTATTATGGTTTTGACGTTTTTCCTTTGCAAACTTCATGTTGATATTTAATCCCCAGTGTTGAAAGTGGGGCCTAATGGGAGATGTTTGGGTCACTGGGGAGAGGGAATCCCCCATGAATAGACTAATGTGTTCCCTTGGAGGTGACGGAGTTCTCACTCTATTACTTCTCAAGAGAGCTGGTTGTTAAAAGGAACCTGACATCTTCTCCTACCTTGCTTCTTCTCTTCTCTTGTAGTCTCTGTACAGGGGGCTCCCCTTTGTCTTCTGACATGAGTGGAAGCAGCCTCAGTCCCTCACCGAATGCCCAGTCATGAACCTTCCAGCCACAGAATGGTGAGCTAAATAAGACTTATTTCTTTATAAATTATGCAGCCTTATGTAATCATTTATAGCAACACAATACACTAAAAAATACCCCTATGGAGATTATGATATTTTATCCAATAGAGGCACCAAGCCAAGAGTATTCCTTCAACCCCATTGGATTTGAGAAAGGTAACACAACAGTGTCTAAGCATTATTCATGAAATGGCACTGGCCAGATCAATTGTATTCAGACAGAAAATTTATTGATAACCTCTGCACCAACTAGTAAATATATGGAGAGCAGCAGTATATCTTACGCTGTGAGACTCCCTCGTACCTGTCATCACATATTTTGTTAGAAGCCAATTAAGAAGTCATATATTATAAATATTATACAAAAAATCAATATACACTCTAGATTCAGTGAATATCTAAATGTGTGCTTTTAAAAATTTATATTTTGAGAGGTTAAACATTGGTAAACAATTATGAGTGGCAAATATACAGAGAATTTATATAGTGCTTCTGTACTAGAGAAAAAGATGATTGTTTTGAAATTATTTACTTTAAGATGCAATTTAATATACAAAAGCCAATTTTTTCTCTACACATAGAATAAATGATTTAGGAAATAAACGTGAGCAATGTCTGTAAACATTCAAGCACCATTCAGTTATATATTATACAACTGCTTTCAGGTATACTGTCTAGTACTATAACACATTAAAGTCAACATTACCCTGAATTTGGTTGTGTGTGTGTGTGTGTGTGTGTGTGAGACAGAGAGAGAGAGAGAGATAGATAGATAGATAGATAGATAGATAGATAGATAGATAGATAGATAGATAGATACAAAATGAGGAATGAAATGTAAAAGTAAATCAAGGCATACAGTATTATAGCAATATTATTTTGCATTCAAACATGCCACTATGAGTTCTGATTTAGTCATGTCATAAAACAGCAGTATCAAATCTGTCAGTTTTTATATAAAAGTTCTTCAAGAAAAATTGAGATTTTATAGGAAATCGTGAGGTGGCATCATTCACTCTGAATTACAAATAAAGCAATTCCTGGGAGCTGATAGAAAGTTGGCATTATTTCAGTGGGACATAAAACTATATTCCTCCATATTTATTATGAGATGATAGTGTCACAACGAAGCTTTTCAAACTGGGCAAGATTTATTGGTAGGTAATTTATTTGAGGTTTTTTTACGTGTTTGCATACATACATGAATGTGGCACTTAAGTAAAAGGGAAAGTTTCTTAACATTTTAAAAACTAGCAAATAAAATATATTTTCAGTGATACTTAGCATATTTAAATTTAAACTATTATTTTAGTGTAATAAAATTTGCCTAATGTTTGTCCATACATTATTATTCTTTAGTGGAATAATTTATATAAATATATGTTGAATCATTAAATCACAAAATATTAACTGGAGAAAATAATCAAATAATGGTTAGCAGGTGTACATTTAGGAATCCACTACCCCAAATGGCAGTTAATCTGCATATACTTTACCTAAAATAAAATGCAAGTTTACATTTCTGCTACTCAATCTTTACTTAATATTACCAGGCATGTCTCTAAACTGGCTACAGAACAACATTCTGCGGAAAGACAGAGAGGAAAAAAAAAAAAAAACGAACATTACAGCGAAAAGAGCAGCAAGAAATATCAAGCAAAAATCAAAAGAAAAGATTCCTTTTCATCAAGTCTAAAATTGATGAAATTATTTTATTTGGGTCACAGACACCAACAACAAAAACTTTCCATTACTCACTGCATATTTTGAAATATTACTTAGACTTCAATACTAATTTAAATACTTAAATTCTTCCCAGTTTTCTGTGACAATGCTCCATAAGTGGTACACAGTTTTTGCTTAATAGAAGTAATACATCTAAAATCTAAAATTAATGAACATTTTGAAAGTCCATATTACTGCAGTAGAAAATCTCCAAATTCTTCCACAACTGATTGCCAATGCACACTTCATATTGCACACCTATAAACAAACTTTCTTCAGAAAACTGTTCTGAAGGGGTCTTCCCTCTAAATATTCTGGCATTTTTTCACATGGTGCATGTAATTTCTTCACAACACACTGGATTAAACAATCATTTATGTTTATGAATATATGTTTGCAATTCTGCTTTTCTGTCTTCACCTTCCAGATAAAGGCAAAGTTTTAAACCACTGGTGACGCTTAAGGCATATGTTTCCCCTCCCTTTATGTTATAGACAAATCATCAGTTAACCTGACCAAAGTTAAATGCGTGTGTCTTAAGGAGTTTTTAATACAGTATATACACACATAAGTAAATACATTCACATGCATAAGAGTCATTGTAATCTTGAATCTGAAATCTGCAGAGCAGGCAAGCAGTGGAAAATTCAAAATTTAGCAAGATTTTTATGTTGTACTCTTGAAACAGAATTCTTTTTCTGGGGTTGGGAAACCTGTCTTTGCTTATAAGACCTTCAATTCATTGAGCAAAACCCACTCATATTATAGAGGGTAATCTGCCTTACATACAATGAATAGATTTTAAATGTTAATTGAATAAAAAAATGCCTTCATAGAAACATCTAGACTGTTATTTGACCAAAGAATTGGGTGCCACAGCCTAACAAAGTTGATACACAAAATTAACCATCACTTCCACTGTCATTTCATTTACATGTGTTTGAACATATTCTACTTTAATAGTAAAAACTTTTAAGTAATTTATCTTTCATTTTCTCCTTGGAAATCATATTTAGTCATATTTGAAAGGTTATGGATTATCTCATTATAAACTTCTGCCACCAAAATGTGTAAACTATTGTTTTAGTTTTATGTTTTGTGTGATCAAAGTTTATGTTTTAAGTTTTGTATGAGCTATGACTCTGGGTACTAAAAAATTTTCTGGATTAAGTTACCATTACAAATATTACTAGTATAATGGATCAAAACAGCACAGAACATATATTTTGATAATAATTATTAAACTTTTATAAGCCAATTCTATTTAAAATGCATCTCTTAATAGGATAGGCTCTTTTAAAGCTTGATCATGTATTCAGGAATGAATATTAGTTATTAGAAGACTATTACCTGGTTGTCTAATGAAAAGACAGTTTGGAATCATTAGTAAAAAGGGAGTTTCTGGCCCTGCGCGGTGGCTCACGCTTGTAATCCCAGCACTTTGGGAGGCCGAGGCAGGCGGATCACGAGGTCAGGAGATCGAGACCATCCTGGCTAACATGGTGAAACCCCGTCTCTACTAAAAAATACAAAAAATTAGCCGGGCGTGGTGGCGGGCGCCTGTAGTCCCAGCTATTCGGGGGGCTGAGGCAGGAGAATGGCGTGAATCCAGGAGGTGGAGCTTGCAGTGAGCCGAGATCGTGCCACTGCACTCCAGCCTGGGCGACAGAGCGAGACTCTGTCTCAAAAAAAACAAAAAAAACAAAAAAAAACAAACAAAAACAAAAACAAAAAAAACAAAAACAAACAAAAAAAAGAGGAGTTTCTTAAAGGAGCATTAATAATTCTCGCTAAAAGTATTTTTAATAGAGAATATTCCTATGCTTATTACATTCACCTAAAATAATAAGCATAATAATAAAAGAGTAGAAGGATTTTTTTCAAGTGATTCCAAGGAACTCACCCACAAGGGAATTCCAAGCCTAGGGAAGAGCCAGTGAAGGGAACTAAGATGAAGGCATTGCCTGGTCTGATTGAAGAAGAGCATAGAGACCAATATGCTTTAGTAGAGTGACAGTGAGGTTGCGTACTCAGGGACAAGGTCTAAGAGTTTACAGATTAAGTAGTGTGCAGTTAACCATTTCAAAATTTGGTTTTTACAGATAAAACGCTTTTAGAGTCGATCTGATCTGACTTGACGTTTTAATAGGATCATGCTGGCAACTGTGTGGAAAATAGGCCAAGGTGGAAGCACGATCAGTCACAAAGATAGTGCAATAATCCAGGTAAGAGATGATGGTGACATAGAGTAAATTCTTAGCAGTGGCAGTGGTGGAAACAGATTGCAGTAATAGTATGTTTTGACAGAATTTACAGGTGCAGTATGAGAGAAAAGGAAGTATCAAAATTGACCTCAAATGTTTTAATGTGAGAATCTGGAGGCCATTAATTAAGATAGGAAAGATTTCAAACAAGAAAGTTTGGGGCAATATTCATGGATTTCTATTTATTTCAGGAAGATAGAGAAAATGAATATTCAGAGGAAATTAGCTACAAAATGTTAGTGATAAACTCACTAAAATATAATGCAGTATATTAAAATATAATAGTATAGTATAATTTGCTGTAAATGTATAAAGAAGGGAATAATTCAAAAGGAGTTCATACAAATGAATGAAAAGAAAATTCTGTCAATAAAAATTGTGCAAATAACACCAATACATAATTCACAGAATTGTGGAAATAAAAGATAAAATAATTTAAAAATTCAATCTAAAGAAAATTATGTAGAAGTGTTGTAAAAGAAAGAAATGTTAATATTTACCTAATTTGCAGAGTGGTGTATGTGTGTGCGGGGTGTGTGTGTGTGTGTGTGCATGTGTGTTAATAATTATATGCAATAACAGGAAAAAGTGGTGAGATGAAAGAAGCATACTTAAACACAGCTGTTTGAGGATATATATATGTTTAACCATCTTATTTTAGTTAAGAACCATTAAATATTGATTTACTTTTACTGATCAATTTAAATAATAATCCAAAATAGAAGATTAAGAACATAGGTATTATATGAATTTTTATATAAAGTAGAAAAAGGAGAACAATAAAAATGTCCAATATCAGAGATTATTTTAATGTAAAACAGCTGGAGATATGGTTATATACTGTGTGAATTTTCTTTACCTTTAGGTGTTGAGAGTCTGTGTAGTTTATTTCATTTATTCATTTTGATATTTTTATATTATTTTTAATAATTAACAGCTTTTACATTTATAAACAATAAAATTAACAACAAAATTACCATAAAATGAATTAGATTATATAACATAATATAGGTATAAAGAGGTATAATAAAACAGTCTTACGAATTGTGAAATTAAAAATATTGATGTCATAGAACACAAAGCCATACATACAAAAAACTATCTGCTGCCGTACATACAAAAAACTATCTGTTTACCTATGTATATTTCATCCTCATTATTGGCAGATTCCACATTCATTTACTCACTAAATTTGTAACCCCCAAATGAATATTCATGTAACTTACATGCTCATTTGCAGTTATTTTGCTCAGAGTAAAGTTTGAGGCACTCATTGCTCAAATGTTCAGCTGATATTGAACAAAGTGATAACAAACTATCTTCTTTTTTCAGTTCTAAAATCCAGTTCTTATACTCTTTGTTATTTTCTGTTTCATGCTTTTATGATTTTCGCTGTTCACTTTCTGTTTAACATGGCCCACAATCATCGTACTGAAGTGTTGCCTTGTCTTCCTGAGTGCAAGAAGGTTCTGATGTGCCTTCCAGAGAAAATGCTTGTATTAGATAAGCTTTGTTCAGGCATGAGTAATAGTGCTGTTGAACTTGAGTTTAATGTTAATAAATCAACAACATATCTTTAAAAGTGTGTCTTTAAATAAAAACATACATAAAATAAGTTGCCTATTGATGAACTGATAAAATGCTGAACTAGGCTTGCAGGAAATGTGAACAGAGGTTTGCAGGAACCTAACCATGTGTTTCTCTTAGGAACAGTTCTTCAGTATTAGCTAATTCAATTTTAGTGATGAATTTCTTATAGAACATAATTATTGAAATTAACAAGAAATGGCTGCCTATTTCTTTATATATCTGCATTTCCTAATGGCAATATGGTATTGCAAATCTTTGGAAATTCCAGGTATTTTTTCATAAATGGTATTAGCATAACCACTGAATAACTCTGGGAGCAATAAAGATTGACCTTATACTTTTTGGCATATGCACATTTGCCTTTTCTACATTGGGTGCAATATTAGTGGATTAGGATTCCCCAGCTTTTCTATGAATAGATATTTATTATCTTGAAGGGTTCATTGTGATGTGTTGGGGTAATTTTCTACCACAGGTGAAGAACACATATATGAATCTCTCAGCTTGGTACATACAGACAACACTTTTTCTATGTGGCCTTTGCCATCCTAGGTGTTTCTGTTTATTGATAAACAGAAAAGCATAAGAGGATTGTCTGGTACACTCGTGATTCACATACTGGAAGACTGTCCCCTGGAGTGGGACTATCATAAACATGTGGAAAAAAAAGTAAACACACATACAAACATCTTAGATATTGTACACCAAATGCAATTACTTTCCATTGAAAAGTTCTGCCACTTCAGTAAGCTCTGAATATCAACACTGTAATGATCTCTTTGCATTTAATATACACAAAAAAACATAGATAAGTTTACCACTTGGTAAAGTGTTAGAATTAATAAACAATTCAAAAGTATATTCTATAGTGTAAAAATTTTATGGAAACAGAATAATTTATACATTTGGTAGATTACTACAAGTTCTGATGTATTCGGTACAGTCTTAAAGAGGAAAAAATCTGATTCAAATATAATTTTTTGTTATAAATCAATTGGGTTCGACAAAGTAAACTAAGGCTAAAGATTGGCAGTCCTAATCACAACAGATTATAGGATAAATTGATGATGTTGGTTTGTTGCTTCTGATAAAGTTGCTTTAGTTTTCTTTGTTTATTTTGAAGCATTCATAATTAATTTGCAACTTAAATTTTCATTAATACATAGTACTATTATTTACTTTCATACAAATAGGAAAGACATTTCCTTCTTGGTTCATTTATCCTATTTTAAAAATTACCCAAGTAGATGAAAAAATAATACCTCCAAAGATATCCTATAAAACTTTGCTTTTATTTTAAGGTTCCCATACTAGTAAAATATAATTTAAAGGACTGTACTTTTAAAATAAGATAAAAAGGTAATAATTACTGAAAGAAACTATGCCAAAGAGATAATGTCTCAAACAAAAGTCCCTAGAATATATTTTTATTCTCATTTTTCTACTCTGAAAAATAAATTGGCTCTCAGGCCAAAAAAAAAAAGAATTCATTCAGACCATATCACACAGTTTCTTTGAGAAAATCTGTATTAGTTTACCATTATTTCTCAAAAGAATCATTGTATCAGCACAAGCAAAGTGCAAAAAAGCAATAGCTTCATACAAAACAAAATTAGAAATAGTCTCTTACCCACCCAGTAGGAACTATACTATGAGAAAACAAATTAAATGCTACTTTCCTCTGTGCAACAAATGTTACTGTAATCAAAATGGGTTTTTAATGGTACACTGAAATGACACGTGGCCTTGAATTCTTACAAAGGTTTTCAAAAGTCAAAATACTCTTCCTGAATACCTGTTGTTTCTTTTTAAATTCAGGGGAAAAAGCAACTGCTTAAGATGATTATTTCACGTGCGTTTTTCAGGGTAGAGTTACAAAAAAGACAGCATGAAACTATTCAGTAAAAGTTTAATTTTGGCCTAGGAAAAATTAGAGTCATATGCACACTTGTTTTATGGACAAAAATGACCAAATCCTAAACAAAAGCACATTTTCCTTTTTTGTTGTTACAGAAATACACATGATTTTTACTTCAATTTTTTTGAAGGAAAAATAACACAGTAGGCTTTTTTCAAATACTACATGAGAGTTAAAGGCCCAATGCTGCCAGACTCCACACTGAAGTCATGAGAGTGGATTGTCTATAATTATTTCCACTATTTAGTTCTCTGAGGCTTGTCATTGAATCACACACAAGGAGATAAGGATTTAAGTTGGTAGCCTTTTGCAGCATCAAGAAAAACTGTATTTCCCACACATAAAGTTGGAAAGCAAGGAAGTGAAAACTTTCATCTCAATCTAACATGACTGTACTCTTGGGAAATGAGGCCCAAGAACAGGTCAATGTCAGTATTACCTTGTTCATTTTTTAAAGGAGATTCATACGATTTCTTTTATATTGTGGGAAAGCGTGTCGAAGGTTTTGAAATTCTGCGTAGCTTTCTGATACCCTGAACTACCATTTTCCTGGAATAAATAATCTTGTTTTCAAAATTTCTGTTGAATATTTCAGAGGGAGAATGAGAGCAGGATGTAAAAAAAAAAATAAAAGTAACTTAGCTGATAATTTTAAAGAAGTGTCAGAGTGATCACATTCAAATTACAATGTTAATGTATCAGGTAGAATTACTTGTCAATGTGAGTGACAAAAATCTCACAAAGAGCAGTTTAACCAAGTAGCTCAGAGTTAGAAAAGTGTGGACACTGAATTAGTTGTTAATGATGTATATTTTATTTTTTTTTATTTTGCTATATGGAGTGGGTTTTTGTGACTGAAAGACAATTCTGTCAGTTCTAATCATCCTATCCAACACTGAGGCTAACAGAAGAAGGAAAGAGAAAAAAAGTCCATTCCTGGTCATTTTATCCATTTTATCAAGATAGCAAAAATTTTCCTTGACACTACCTCTCCACGTTAGATATATATTGATAGCTTAATGGCCGAACAGTATCAAAAGGCTGAAAGAGAGGCTAGGGATCTGAGTAGTAAGATTTATAATAATTTGTATTAGGGACAGAAAAAAGAGAAGAGTTGGACCTTTGAACATGCATTGTGGGTTTCCGTTAAATTTTGGGAGTTTGGATATTTCTAAAGTTTATCCACAAAAGCAAAAAAAGTGACTGCTTAGGAGCCTTGTTTTTCAAGTTTCTAAGTGTGCCCACCAAATAATCTTAACGTAATCAAACTATGCCAAATAATGTGGAACTTGTCCCATTTGAGATAAATGCGTGGTATTCATATAAATTATTTACTTGGCCCAGATATTTTGAATTGAATGATATAAAACTACACTCATGTTCTTATATATTCAATATTTTTAAAAATCAAATACTTTATGTGCAACTGTGTGATAGATGCCAGTTTCTTTGAAAAACCATTGACTTCAAAGCTGTCAGAGAGATTGTTACACAAATGTGAAAACAAAACTACTGTTTATATAAAACAATGCATTCATTAAAGTTAGCATAAGATGGAGAAATAAAAAAAAACATAGCTAATAAATGCTATGAAATTTTAAGTTTATAGTGATAACTATTATCAATATGGTTGCACCTAGCTGTAAAGGTCAGGAAATATGTGTGGAGGTTTTGGGGATTGAAGAAGAATATTCTGTGATTTTCCAGATGGTCTTGTGCCACCAGTTACACATCGCCCTAGCAAAGAGTTTAAATTTGGCAAAGATGAGTATGCACATCGCCATAATTTATAGGACTTTCTAAGTGATTTAAACTCTCTTATTTGTAGAGTTGTGGATGGCTGCTTAAATGAGATAACGATAAACTTAGGAGTTTGGTTATCTCTCAAATCTGTCTAGGAAAAAATCAACAAACACTTTCTAGGTCATATGAAATATTGAAGTTTAAAATAAGAACATACAATAATGCGGTTAAACACTAGAATAAATGAATATACTCTGATGGATAGGTACAGAAGTCACGGGAAAAATTAGGAAATAATTGATAGTATTATAGATTAAATTAGTATCTGATAAAGGTGTTGGTAGTTGTAAAGGAAAATAAGTGAAAGATTAAAAGAATTTTCATAAGATTACATTTCAGGATTTTATTACATATGATGCTACTTGGCCTTTACTATCAGGCACAGTTTTCTCTAGTAATAGTTTTATGAAAGATTTGTAAATTGTTTCAAATGACAAACCCACATGCTAGGCTGGTTCAGTGGTGTTTTATAGAAGTTGGGGTGTAATGACAAACATACCTTTACTTTTTTCATGAGTCAGATGTTGTTTTCAAACCAGTCATCTCCAGACATCAGAAAGGCATACAAATTACTATTAATATTTTAAAAAATCAGTAGATAGATTTTTCTCAGATCTCAGAGAGTAGAGATAATAAAAATCAATAATAGTTTTTAGTTATCTATAAAAATTTGGCTACTTTCTACTACACACTATAAATTACATGAATAATTTTAATAACAGGAAGAATGACTATTTTTCTTTTGTAAGATGAACTTATTAAATCAATTATGCAGATGTTGTGTGTACTGGAAAAGCTGATGATCACTGGAACAGAATACATTTCATATGTCTAAACTTAAATAGTCTTTAGTTGAGTGCACACAGACAATGCTAATTATAAGATAAACAATCTTCAAATGCTTTAACACGTCGTAAACTGGTCTTTCCTGTTGTTAAGTATGAAGTAGGCAATTAAGGTGATTCCGCCCCTGAGAAACTTCATAATCATAGTTATAAAACAAAACAAAAGGTGCCCATTTTTTCTGACATATTTTTTTACAATCTTAACTCTGAATTAATAAGATAGAAGAATTAATTACTTATAGATTGAATTTGAGTCCATAGAAAGAGTTAGTAGGTTTTAATAAATATGATGAGCTGTGGACATCCTAAATAAATGGGAAAAAAAGGTAAATGTAAAATTTATTGGTGCATTTTAAGACATTTCAGTCCAGTCCTATGCAAAGCAACTAAACATCTTTTTCTTTCATTTTATAGCTGAACAAAGCATAGAAAAACAAAACATCAGGGAAATTCCTATATTACGTTGATCTTTGCAGAATTAATGTATATTTCATCAAAACATATATGTATTTGTATCTAGATGTTGTATATGTAGAAGTAAATATTCTAGGTGTTGGGAATATAGGCATGAACAAAACAGATGTTCTTATTCTGAATAAGCTCACATTCTAGACAGGGTTATTTAACTACAAAGCTCTTTATCTTGCCAGAGCAAATAGGAAAGCTGTCGCCCACTCCAATTTGACAGAAAGGGTTACTTCTAACTGAAGCCAACATTTGGAATGAATTCCTCTTGGGGCAAAAGGGATGAGAAATATGTTTCTGTGTAACAATATTAAACATCTTTCCTGACTGCAGCAACTTGGGATATGCAGTTGTATAAGAATGTTATATCTTTTCCTTATGTCATCTATATAATTCTCTAACTTTTGGTTCCCAGACCTCTGTGGTCCAGGTGCAGAGATTTTACACTGGAGTATACTCATTCACTCATTAGTGATTACTACATTAGCTTCTTAAGTCTTTTAACAAGAATTTATGGAGTGACTAACAGGTGCCAATGAGAGCTGGTCAACAGGAAATCATTCATTTGTGAAACCTGGTGTGAAAGAAAGGTGGAGTGTTGTCTGCAGCAAGACAAATTGGTGTTCAAACCTCAGATCCCCAAGCTGTTATTTAAAGCTAAGGGTAAATTACCTGGCATTTCTGTGTTCTCAAATATGTTCTCACATATTCACAGGATTATTAAAAGCCTTAAATGATAAAATGTCTGAAAAGTATATAACTGATTTCTCAGTATATGGCACGTGTTAAGGAAGCATTGAAACAATCCACTTAAATAAGATATATTAACAAAGAGACAACCTGATATCACAAAAAAAAAGCACTAAGAAAGACCTGGATTTAATTTCAGACCCTGCTGCTTATTTCTGATGTAACCTTGGTCATGTCACTTAAAATTTCTAGCCCCTATTCCTCATCTGTTAAATAGAAAGTATAACAGTCATACAAACTCAAATAGTTATTGAAAGAAAACATAAGAAAAGGATGATTAAAATAATCTACAAATAATAAAATGTAATACAATTTTAAAAGTGATATATTCTGTTGGCTTTTTTCTCATAATGCAGTATTTAGCGGGAAATATTTCAAAATTAAATCTACCTGTATTTTTCTCATGATATTTTCTCCCCTTTATTTTTTCTTCCCATTACCTTTGTCTTAATTCACATTCTTACTTTCGAATTCTTTATGTGTCTTTTATTTTTACTGCTTTATAATCTCTTTCATTTTAAACGGAAACATGCCTTCTAGACTCCTCCGTTCTTTCAAGGAAAAAACTCACTTGAACAACCCATTTACAACTATACAGACCTAATAAATATATCGACATTCAAACGTCCAATAAATATACCAAAATTCTTCCCTTTCTCTCACAGAAAATGTATGCTTCTCATATAGAGAACAGAAGCCATTTACGACATTGATAATAATAGGTAACATTTTTCAAGCTCTTATTATGTACTAAGCATAATGCTAACTGCCTCTATATGTACAAGTCTAATTTAACTCTCATAACAGCCTTGTGAGATTGAACTTTAGTTAGGTTAAATAATTTGTATAATAATCAAGCCAGAAAGAGTTCAATACTGGAGATTCCAGAGTAGAATGCTTGAATATCAAGTAATCTTTACTTTTCAATGGAGAAAATTCCAAAATCATAGCAATGCCTTTTTTTGGAAAACAAAATTACAATAAAATAAGATATTTCAATTGTATTTATCCTTTAAACATGTCATTTTCCCCAACGCATAACATGTATGTATATTTCTACATTTTAAATTTCTTCCTTATTTTTACTCTTTAATTTCCTTTATTCTCTTTTAACCACGATGTTAGTTTTTTCTAAAAATAACTTTGCCTTTGTGACTACCACTATGTAAGAGATTTTACTGTTTATCAGTATGCTATAACAGTTAACCCTAAAAGCACTTTTTATTTGTATTTTTAATATAAGTAAAAGTGGTTTGGAATAAAATAACATACAAATAAAGTTCTATCCAGAGAACAAATGATTAGGGAATGCTTCGTAAATATTTATTAAATCAAAATATTGTGTTAAGTATTAGGTAATATTAAGCCATTTTTATGGAAGTGCCAGCTACCATGTAAAACTACTTTATTAATATACATTGTAAAACTCTCTTTTAATTTTTAGTCACAAAACCTTTGATTTAAAGGTTTCATTAAAAAGTTCTCTGCACAGCAAAGTGTATGACACCCAATTTATCTACCTAGAGAAGATCGGTAGGTGTGATTGGAAACCCTGGCTTTAGGCAGTCTCCTGGAAATACAGCCTGGTAAGCTACACCTCTGACTTCTCACGTTGTTATTATATAATTGCTATTATTTTTTTCTAAAGAAGACTGAAATTGGCTGTTCTTTACCTTGAGACAAAGCATTTTAGATGGAAACAATATTATTTTTTTCTGTCAGAAAACATTTTGTATAAGCATATTGAGTATTCTTCATTAAATCAGCACAAACAGCTAGAAGAGCTGAATCAAACATCGCTAAATCTAGATTTTATTAGAAATAGGGCATGCTCCCATAGGTGGAAATTTTATGTAGGCTTATATAAGGGAGGGCAAATTTTGATCCCACCAAATTAAAATTACACAATACTTATATTTTTAATATATGAAGCATGTAATTTTCTAAGTTCTGGGTTATTATTGGTAATAGAACAGTGACTAATTTGATTGTTTTTTTTTTGTTTTTTTTAAATACTCTGTGTGTTTGTGTATGTGTGTGTTTTTGTGTGTGTATAATAGGAACACTTACATATTACAATATCATACAAACAGGCAGTTCACACACAAAAATACTAACAGTGAACATACAAAGGGGCCCAATTGTACTTATAGCAATGAAAATTGAAACTACAAGACACCTCTTACATAGATTGCCAAAAGTTAAATCATTTCTATAATCATTCTTATTGTTGAGAGTGTATGGAAAAAATGAACTTTCGTGCTTTTTATAGAAGGGTCTAAAATCTGAAGACATATTTTGAAGGGTAATTTGTCAGTATCTTGCAACTGTTAAAATATAAAAACCTTTGGTCCTAGCAGTAGTAGAAACTTATTTTTCAGATATACATCTAAAGGTATACTAGTAAAAATGTTTGTGTTTACATTATTCAAAATGCTAATATCAAAAGTAGAAAAATATAAATATTCATAAATGAGGAGCTCATTAAATACATTACAAAATTACAAAGTATATTAATCTTTGATCTTTAAAACAGGCTCATATTTCTAGTATTGGAAGATTCATACGGTATATAAAAGTTCATCAAAATACAGAAGTATAGAAATACTCTAATCAGTTTATGTTATGAAAAAAAGTGTGCAGATATTGTGAATGTTTTTAATGATGAGTGGAGGTTTCTGACATAGAAAAAGCCTTGAATTTAAAAAATACATTTTTGTTGTTGTTCTGTTTGTTTTACTATATTTGTTCATAAGCATAGAATATTGAAAAAATCAGCTTCTAAAATCAGCTCAAAGTTGATATGTAAGATTGCAAAGTAGAGATTTGAAGGAGTTTAACTTTTCATATCATACCATTTAGTATCCTCTTGCATGTATTATTTTTAAGTGAGCAAATATTATACTAATTTAAAGAATATGTGTAATTATTTCTAAATTATATCTGAAATGCATCAAATATAATCCTAATGAGCAAAATTGATAAATTATTTTTATTTTAAATTTATGTGTTGGAATAAACCATCAATTTCATGAGAGTCTCCAACATATTTATTAAAAATAATAAATGATTCTTAATTCTACTCTTACAAAGGAATCACTACAAGACTT
Organism: Homo sapiens; assembly: GCF_000001405.40. Classification (NCBI taxonomy): domain Eukaryota; kingdom Metazoa; phylum Chordata; class Mammalia; order Primates; family Hominidae; genus Homo; species Homo sapiens. The sequence continues at coordinate 83,777,376 of NC_000003.12, read as the reverse complement.
TTAAAAAACACAGACTGTTGGTTAAACTCCAGCTATGGTATATGAACCTCTGAGCAAATGACCTGAGCATCTGTCTTTTTATCAAATTCTTAGAATTAATTTTGAGAAAGGATTTAAGGTGTGGTCAGCAGATTGTCATTTAAAATATCTTTGTAAGAGATATTTCAGTCTCTTTTCTAGCTCTGTGATTCTCAAACTACAGTGGTAGTTTATTTCATGTATAGAATCTATTTCCCAACTCTTCTATGTACTGATTTAATTGTTCTGTTATGGATCACTGGAATTTCTGTTTTTTACAAGTATGTAAAGTGTATAAATTGATTCTTAAGCAAAATATAATTTGAAATAGATCATCTAACTAAGAGTTAAATTACGAAATGTTTGCCAAAAAAATCAGTAGTATATTTGAGACTAGAACAACAAATTCTCATTGTATACAACTTTTACCTTACTCTCCATATATTTTGTCTCTTCTATTTGCTAAAGATATACCATAGTATGGAATAAAAATATATGAATGACTTTGACTTTTACTAAAGTTATGGAATAACTTATTTCAGCCACATAATAAAGGATGTTATCATAGGCTGAATAATAAATTATTTTGTCCCCTTTTCTGTATTTCAATTTAAGTTCTTGATAGAAGACAAGAGGAGTGAGCCCCAGCAGTATTGAGAAGGAACAAGACAATGTATTGCTGTATATTGGGAAGACACAAGACTATAGGTTGCCAAAACATATGCTATATATAATCCTATTAGTATCCTATCACCTAAAACTTTTCAAAATTGGCCAAATTATATTGACATTTTTCTTCATTATACATTGAGTGGCATGAGGATGGCAGATGGATACTGAGTTTCCTTTATCATGAGAGATGATTATGGCTAAAATATTAATATATTTTCTGCCACTATTTGTTTGCTTATGCAAATATATGTTATGACACATTTAAATATATGGCTAAATATTGACTGTTATATAAAATTACCAACACACATGATTCTATTTTTTTAAAGCAGTCGATATGAACAATTCATTTGTTTACAGTACTCTAATATTTAAACAAAGTGACAACACATTATTTAAAAATAAACATAGAAGATTACATGTATATATGATGGCAGATTATTCTTTTAGATGTGAGAAAAAAATTTAATCATTAAAGAAATGATAAAGTCAACACAAATCTCAGAAAATTATTCTGAAGTGATACAGACTCTGCTATTCAGGCAGATTGCAAGGAAAGTAAAAAACAATATTTTGTTTTGTTTCATTAAAAATGGCATTTTAAAATTTAGATTACAAAAGTTTTACCTGGTCATTAAAGAAATATACAGAATAGCCTATAAGAGTAAATAAAAAAAATACCACAGTCCTTTCACCCAGAGTTATTTTGGTGTAATTTTATTCACAATTGGGATCATACATTTTATTGCTTTTTGTTGTTAATACAAACATTACATATTCATTGTATAAAAATATAGAATATATAATTAGAAACATAATATAACATATCAAAGTTTCTTTGTTATAGCTATAAATACATTTATTACTGCTTATATGTCCTTTGGATATATATCCTTCTGAATCTTCCCTGTTTGTCTCTCTATCTTAATGAATAACATGAATAAGCCGGGAGAATTGCTTAAACCCAGGGGGCGGAGGTTGCTGTGAGCTGAAATTGGCGCCATTGCACTCCAGCTTGGGTGACAGAGTGGGACTCTATCTCAAACAAACAAACAAACAAACAAACAAACAAAACATTAATAACTCATTATTTTTATTTTTGTTTTTCCAAGACCCAGTCTTGCTTGGTCGCCCAGGCCAGAAGGCAGTGGCGTGATCTCGGCTCACTGCAAACTCCACCTCCCGGGTTCAAGCGATTCTCCTGCCTCAGCCTCCCCAGTAGCTGGGATTACAGGCATGCACCATCAAGCCTGGCTAATTTTTGTATTCTTAGTAGGGACGGGGTTTCACCATGTTGGCCAGGCTGGTCTCAAACTCTTGACATCGTGATCCTCCTGTCTCGGCCTCCCAAAGTGCTGGGATTACAGGCATGAGCCACCGTGCCTGGCAAAAACCTCGTTATTAAGAGAAGCCTAAATACATGAAGATTGTAATTTTAAAAGTAAAAAAGACAAATTTTATATTTGCATTCATAAAACATTTGGCAGCAAAATATATTACTTTTATTACATAATAAATATATGAACGGAATGAGCATAGTTGACAAAATTATATTTCATAGCTTCATTTTTTGCATCTGTTATGAAGCAAGATAAAGTTTACTTTTTACAGATGTTCTACAGTTTCTTACATGTACTTCAGTTTTGTATCTTACTCTCTTCTTTCACAGTTGGAAACAACCACAGCCTTAATTTGAGCACATAAACTCTTTCATATTTGTGTTGATACACAAAAGTACAATATGTTAATATGCAAACATAATCAGACTTTCTGTTACCAATAGTTCTGTTATAGTTTTAGTCACCCATATTAACTAGAAACATAGCCAAATGAACTAATCCCTATTGCACAGAGAAAATGAGGAGGTATTGAGTGTCAGCTATATATAACTATTTTAGCTGGCCTGGAAATCTCAAGCATGTATCATAAGACATCCTACAGTCACACACATGTTAATTTACACTTTAAAAGTGGCAGTATATTTAAGCAATTTTGTAACATGTAAAAATAAAAAATATAGATTTTAAGACTGAATTGTGATTAATATTTCAGTACTGGTTTATTATAAATTATGCAGGTATCCCAAATTAAGTCATTAACTAACACAATTTTTAATATTAGCTCAAGGCTTTAATTTTTTATTTTATTTTACTTTAAGTTCTGGAATACATGTGTAGAACGTGCAGGTTTGTTACATAGGTATACAATTGCCATAGTGGTTTCCTGTACCTATCAACCCGTCAATTAGGTTTTAAGCCCTGCATACATTAGGTATTTGTCCTAACGCTCTCCCTCCCCTTGTCCCTCACACCTCAAGAGGCCCTGGTGTGTGATGTTTCCCTCTCTGTGTTCATGTGTTCTCATCGTTGAACTCCCACTTATGAGTGAGAACATGTGGTGTTTGGTTTCCTGTTCCTGTGGTAGTTTGCTGAGAATGATGGTTTCCAGCTTCATCCACGTCCCTGCAAAGGACATGAACTCAGTCTTTTTTATGACTGTATAGTATTCCATGGTGTATATGTGCCACATTTTCTTTATCCAGTCTATCATTGATGTGGTTCCAAGTCATTGTTATTGTAAATAGTGCTGCAGTAAACATACGTGTGCATGTGTCTTTATAGTAGAATGATGTATAATCCTTTGGGTATATACCCAGTAACGTGATTGCCAGGTCAAATGGTATTTCTAGTTCTAGATCCTTGAGGAATTGCCACACTGTCTTCCACAATGCTTGAACTAATTTACACTCCCACCAACAGTGTAAAAGTGTTCCTGTTGCTCCACAGCCTCATCAGCATCTGTTATTTCCTGACTTTTTAAGGATCGCCATTCTAACTGGCATGAGATGGTATCTCATTGTGGTTTTCATTTGCATTTCTCTAATGACCAGTGATGATGTGCTTTTTTTCCCATATGTTTGTTGGCCACCTAAATGTCGTCGTTTGAGAAGTGTCTGCTCATATCCTTTGCTAGATCTTAGCAATTATGTTCAAATGACATGTTTCAAAACTTAATTATGATTCTTGTAAAAATGTTAGCCAGAATTATGATATGATGTAATTTAATACGTACTTTTATATTTTTCACAATCCCAGAATTTTATAGGAGTAATCTTAGCTTATCTGATCTGTGAACTAAGATATGAAGTTTAAGTTTAGAATAGTGATCTTCAATAGAAGGCAGATACATATCTCATGCAAATGAAGACAAACATGTTCACTTGTATTATATTTATACTTGATAAAAGTCAAAGAAAAGTAGCTTATTTTTAAAAATTATCAAACTAGATGGATTAATCAAAATTTTACCGTAATAACATATGCTTCAATTGTTATATAACAATGTTTCTGAGCTAGTATTTTCTGTATGATTTTTCCTTTTTCAAAAGGCTAGCACATTAACTTCAGTTTCTTTACTTTTTGGAAAACTGGGGAACTACTGATCCACATAAGTACTTATACATTTTTACAAACCAATTAAAAATAGTTATTGAACTTAAGATATTTTATAATCTAACTTATTAACTTGTAAAAAAAACCAAAGTATTCTTAAATGTCGCAGAAAAAGTAAAGAATTTTCTCAAATGTAGACATTCAAAGGTGTAGGAGATTACAGCTTCAGATTTCCAGTCTCAGCCATAGGTCAAAATAAACCCAGAATTTAAAAACAAAACAAAAGTTTGTCCAGATCTTAAAGATATGTTCTACTTTCTAGTGGTCATGAAATACATATTAAACGCCTTTGTGTTCATAAATATTCAAGCAAAAAAAAAGAAATTAACAAAAAGTGTTCTTTCTAACCTGTCACTGTATACCCAAATGTGATAACTACATGGCCACAAGATTCCTTGTTATTTTGTCACATATTAATAAAACCATAATTACTCTGCTTTTATGGAAAACCAGAACCCAAAATGAAATAACTGGAACAGAAGAGAGGGAGAAGGACAGGGGAGACTGATTGAGAAATAACTGTATAGGTTAAGTTCTGTTGCAGTACTTTGCTGCAAATTAATTTACACAGTTGTTCAGCAAAATTTCTCATAATTTATGAATGTCGTAACTTTAAACCCATTCAGCATTGTCTTCATTTTCCCAAGTCAGAGCTCTCTAAAAATGTTTTGAAAACTATAACCTCAGAATGCACTAGGAAGGTTTTTCTGTTTTCTGTCACTACCTGTTAGGGATTGAATCCTGTCACCTAAAAAGATGCTGAGGTCCTAACTTCCGGTGCCTGTGAATGTGACCTTACTTAGAAATGGAGTGCTTATAGAGGTAATTAAGATAATTATCTATTCCAATATGATCATGCTTTTATAAAAAGAAGGAATATAGACACGGAGAAAGACACAGAAGGAAAACATAAAAATACAGTTGGTCATCCACAAACCAAGGAAATAACTGAGGCTACCAGAAGTGAGGAGAGAGGCATCAAATAGATACGCCCTCACAGCTCTTTGAATAAACCAACCCTACCAACACCTTGATTTCAGACTTCTCACCTCCAGAACTATGAAAAATATATTTTTGTTCTTCTAAGCCATGAATTTTGTGGTATTTTGTTACAGTAGAACTAGGAAACAAAAACATCACCTATAGTTTTCATCATTTTCACAGAATGACAGCTGTGCTTACATCCATCTTTTTCTGCCTTGAAAATTTTGTAATATAAAGAAGTACAACCTCCAAATTGCTGTTGTATGAGACATGGAAAGAAGGAAGCACTGATTCTCTACCTGAAAAAAAATTACTGTTAGTAGATGTTTTGTTTGTTTTCTTTAGGCATTTAAAAGAGTGAATGGAAAAGATAATTCAACTTACAAATATCACATCCTAAATCAGACTACTGATATTTTAATTTATTTAACATAGAATGATGATGTATCAGAAAGACTTGCAAATTGTGGTCAGGTTGTCCAAACAGCATTGCTCTTCTAAGAGATGAATTATGATTTGATTTCATTTCTAATATAGCTGATAAATTTTGTTGTGGAAACAAATCTATTATTGGACTATGATGAATAACAGATTATTACAAAGCAGAATTGATACGCTTTGTCTCATATGTACCCTTGGAACATACCTTATAGGTTTCTGTGCCACTAAATGCTGCACAAAGTGCCTGCCTGTGGATCTTGGAATTGCTCGACACAAACAAACGTGTTAATTAGGCAGTCTCAATGCAACAACAAAAGCAAGTAATTATAACTGAATACAAAGTCAATGAAAGGCTCTTTTCTTGTTTTATACAATAATGCTACCTAAAAAATAAAATAGTGTCAAACACACAAATCTATTCTTTGATAATTATAAGGTATGAATCCAGCCTATGAATGTGAGAACATTCAATTGGAATGTAGTTGTCTGTACTGAAAACCACCACAATTTTATTTCCTTCTCCAGGGCGCAAAAAATGTCACCCTGATATACCACAAAGCAAAAGTTTATATTGTTTATACACTGATTATACTGCAGGATCTAAGTGATTCTTGTATAACTTATAGTACTTAAGGGACAAAAGAAAAACATTCCATGGAGCTAAGTACTCTCCAACTGGCTTGTAACATTTTTGATTATAAGTAGGCAATATATTTAGTATCGGAATTTACCAACAAATAATAACTACAAATAATAGGCATATTTTTCTTTTCTTAAATACAAAATATTATTTTAAGCTGAAAATATTGTTACAAGATCTTTGGGGTGTCATTTTTCTGGCCGGAAACCTCTGCGGCTGGTTGCACTTTTGCCTGAGTTCTTGTCCTGTTTCCAGGAAGAATGAGGTATGCAGATAAGTAGAAGGTGAACAAGGCTAACAGGAGCTTTGCTGAGTGTTACAACAGCTTAGAGGAGACCCACAGTGGGTAGCGCCTCTCTGTAGATGGGTCATCTCCTCCAGCGTTCAGCTCTCAGGAGAGAGGGTAGCTCCTCCCTGCAGCTGATCCTCCCATCATCTCCAGCTGCCAGCAGAACAGGGTAGCTCTTCTCCGCAGCTAGTCATCCTGTCCTCTCTCCATCCTCTCTGTCCTGCTCTGACCTTCCTCTCCCCTGTTTTGGCTGAGCCCTGGGCTTTTATGGACCTCAGAGGGGAGGAAGTGCATGCTGATTGCTCTGTGGGCAGGCATGGAAGAGGCACTACTAGTCCCCACTCTGGTCTTTGGGACTGGCAGCCTGGCCCCCAGCCTTCAGGCCCTATCTGACCTGAAGGTGGGGACTTACTGGGTCCCGCCCTCTTCCTCCCAGAAATCCGTATGCCTCCTGCTGCCATTCATGGCCTGGAAGCTTGGCCCCAACCCTTCTCTAAGATCTGAGCAGGTGCTGGGAGCAGAGAGAGGCCAGGAAGTGGGAGCGGACACCCCTGAGCCTGTAGGGATGGGGTGGGGCACTTTTCTGGGCCCCAAGGGTGCAGGCTGAACCAAGGAGGGCCTCCGCAGCTGTACCAGAAAGTTCCTGGCCCACTAATTCAAAAAAGCTGGTCCCTAGCTCCTGCCTACTCCCTGGAGCAGGAGGCCCGGGTCTGCAGCCGACCTGTGGCTGCACCTTCACGCAGGAGGGCAGAGATTCTGCCTGCTTCCGGCCTCTACAAGAGCACAGGGGAGCTGGGATCCACAGCTGCAGTTTGGGTGGCTGCAGCCCCACACTCCTGGGCGGGGCTTCTGTCTGGTCCATGGAGCAGGAGGCCTGATTCTGCAGCTGTGGTTTGGGCGGCTGCGGCAGCACCTGGGGATCTCTTGCCTTAACTCAGAAGGGGTGGGGTTCCCAAAGGCTCCGTGAAATGTAGCCCCAGCCACGGCCTCGCTGCTGCAACCAGTGTGATGGTAGCCGCGGAAGTAGACTGCCCGCCACTGCCATAAGTATTATCTGAAAATATTTTGAAGTGTTACTTAAAGTATAATAAATAAAAATATCTAAAAAAAATTAATGTTCACCAAAGTAACAGTGTCATTGTCATAAAATATGCATTTTTATAATTTGACCACTCCTATAATTCAACTCTACTTATAGGAATATGTCCTATGCTGTCTATATTTGATTATGATTATGTATTTGATTTTTAAAAAATTACTGATTCAATATTTCTACTAAAACAAGACTCAGTAAGGATGCACATGGAAGCCCAAGTTTGAGGCCTATTCTAGAAGAAGGTTCAGAGGAGCCAAACTGAAGTTTGGTTCAAGAGAAAGTTTTTGTCAGTGGGTAGGGGAGAGTTGGGAATAAGTCCTAGAATGGTTAATATAATATAACATTTTTGAGTACGTAATTTCTGTTAGGTACCATTAAAATTATTTTTATTATGTAATTATAATTTAGCAATAAATTAATTTTTTAAAAAAATTACATAATTAAAGTGTTCAGCATTTTCAGTATTTAGAGATTAAAAGTAGAACTAATTTTATCATAAAATATACAGTTATTAGATAAAAGAAACTTCTACTTTCAGCCAACATAGAGTAATGAGGACCAGAGTTCCTATCCTGTCCAAAACAAAACAAAGCAAAATAAACACAAATGTAAACAAACATAAAACATAAATAAAAAGGGAGTAATATATATGAAACTGTGCTTTGTATGACACTGGGTATCAGCCAGTGAAGGAGAGTGAAACCTAAGAGAGAGAAAACAAAATGATTAAAGTGATCAATAATTTTGTTTAATGATTAATGGTTTAAAATGATTAAACCATACATTTACCATGGTTTACTGGCTTGAGAAGTTTTTAAGCCAGTATCCAAGACTGTAGAGAAAACCATCTGTAAAGATTTGAAGGTACAGTACCTGACACTTAAACAGGACCAGGGATGGCCCTTGTTACCAGGTTGCTTCCATCTCACATATTTTACCTCAGTTATCAAGCAAGTTCAACTACTTTCTCTTTATTAAGTGTTTGTACATAAATAGGAGCTTCACTATGAAATTTAAACATTTAGTATTATTTCAGGAAAAATTAACATATGATAGAAAATTCTTCCTCCTCAAAGACAGAATTCCATTTATCCTTTGCATATGTAGTTTTCATAATTTTTGAATTGTATGAATAAGAAATATTATAAAAGTAAGGTTCATAAATGTACTGCATGCTAGAACTTATACAGACAAATTCATGGCATGTGCACATCATGAATATAGGAGCCCATGAAATGAATTTAACAAATACATATCATTTTAGGTAAAATCTTAGTATCAAATATAATAAAGTAATTGTCATTTATTTATTTTATTTAATTTTATTCATCTTAACATGATAAGACACTTATGTTCACCCCCATAGATTTATTTTTTTATCAACCTTGAGTAATTGAGAATCTGATTTCACTTCAACAGCCTCCAGGTTTCCACAGCAAATGCTCATATTATATATATATTTTTGAATTAGTATGTTCTTAAGACTTTATCCTTTACTTATTTATTTTTGTGTCCTAAACACTCCAAGTTCTTAAAACAACCAGACTCCTTTGAAATTTGAAATAACTTACATAGTCTAAAAACAAACCAAATAAAAAAGATGAGCAAATAAACTAAAAAAGTTCCTTGAAATATACATGTTAACCCCAACTTTTCATCTCGTATAAATGCTGTTTATGTTCCCATCTCATGGTTTTCCAGGTTTCCAAAATTTATTGATCCCATTCATGTAGATGAATAGAATCTAGCAATTGGATCATTGATCTAATTTTCCATTGTGTTCTGAAAGATGGTTCTCGAAATACCTTGTGGCATATTTTTGGTAAAATTTTCTGGACACAGTTTTTTCCTTGTCCTGCATTAATGTGTATTATTTGAAATCCACCATGGAGATCTCTTTCATAACACAGGAATATAGTTGAATAGGGAATTCACCTCCCTGGGTACATTCCAAGTCTCCTTTCTGAGTTAAAGACAATGAAGACATAAAAATAAGTTTAGTCTTCAGATATGTTTTTCATTCTACAGGTCCTGTGGAGCTACTAAGGTAAAATTTCTCAGGGTGTACAGAAAATATATTCTCATTCTGAAGTCTTTTGTCATATACAAATGGAAAAAAATTCATGTCTACGTCTCTGACAATACAATTTCAAAATTTCAAGTCAGGATGGATTTTGATACTATGTTTCTGTTCACAGTACTCCCTAATCAATGCAAATTGATTTTTCTTTCTTGTATGGGAGCATTAATTTTAGCAATGGTGCAATAGTCTAGGCACAGCAATGCATTTAAACTATTCCATCACACATGCAGCTTTGAAAATGAATACATGAATACATATTCATACGATACCTTGACACTGGTAATTAATTTTCTTGTGGCCAAAGAGTTAAGTCTTTCAAAGCATGTAGGATTTTTGTTTTCCAATCCTTATTTAAATATAATGGTTTCTAAGTATCACTATTAAATCCCACTTCTAATGGAAAATTTAAAATGACTACAAATTCTTTGACTTTTCTCCAGTTGAAAAACAGGATTTCTGCCACTTCACTTTATAATTATACAAATTTCATTACCGCTTTACACAACAAAAGTTAAGAGGTGACTGTGTACATGTATTGGGTCCAGTTCTTAAAAGGGTGACAGCTACGCATTCCTTGGAGTCCTTTCGTGATGATACTTTTCTTGAGAATTCAGCAGCCATAGTGTAGGAAGTCAAAATAATCCCATAGAATGATCACATTATCATCCTCTGGTAGTCAGGAACATAACAGCTACCAGGCGATAATGAGTATCAACTGCCACCATATGAATAAGCCTTCTTTAAAGTCCACTGAAGAGAAAACTTCAAATGACTGTAGTATCTTACCACAACCACTTGACATAACCCAAGGGAGAACCATATAGTTCCCCCATAGAAGAATAAAAGATAATAAATTATTGTTTGAAGCCACTGGGTTGTGATGTGGTTTGTTTGCAGAAGTATTGATACATATGTATGACTTAAATTAAATTTCCAAATAAGAGCAATTTGCTTTTATCCATTTAATTTACTAGAATAAGAAACTATAGCTGAACTTTTCTCAAACTGATTTTTATTGCTATAGCTCTAATTTCCCAAGGTTAAATAAAGTAAAAAGATGGACAAAAGTGTGGATTTCACCCATTAGGTTGTAAAATTGTATACCAAACTCTTCTCTATTCTCATTTTGAATACCCAACCTATAGCATAGAATATTTACTGCATTGCCTTTCTCTCTGCTAATTCTTTGTAGCTAATTTGCTGTGCTCTTTAATCATTTCTATCAATGATGAGTAATTAAGAATCTGACCTGTTTTCATTACCTCTAATGTTTTATTATAAATAGTTCGCCTTGTAAAAGTCTTCTGCCAAACCACATAGTCTATAAGCATTTCTGCTTTAGTCACTGTTTTTGTCATAATCTTTACCCCAATCTGTGAACGTTACTGGAGACATTTTCACCTTCATTTGGGTTAGTATTTAAAAATTTGATATGGAGCTCTTCCATGCTCTCCACTCTCCCCACACAGTGAATGAAAGCCTCAAGTCATTATGTACTGTGGCCAAAGAATTTTCACATCTTGAACTATGGAACACATTGAATGTTTGGCCCTTGAGATTATCCAGCAGCTGCCTCTGTCACTCTGTATTGACATTTGCTACAGCTGTAATATTTCAGAGAATTGATTCAACTGGATTTTAAATGTTTCTCCCTTGATTTGGGGACAATAGCCATGTCCAAATTTAATTTTCAGTATTAGCATGAACTGTATGTTATACTCTTTAACCTTGCACAAAATATGAATTTGCATAGCTAGAAATAGCATATTCTTTGAGAAATGAAAGGCACTCTCACCTTCTACAAAGCCCAAGAAAATTTATTATTATTCTTATTTCTTTCTGCAAATCAGTATTTACAAATTATATTTTAGTTTCAGGCTAGTGATCTAGTCTCATAATTTCTTTTCTTTCTTTCTTTTTCTTTTTTTTTGAGATTGAGTTTTGCTCTTGTCACCCAGGCTGGAGTGCAATGGCGTCATCTCGGCTCTCTGCAACCTCCGCCTCTTGGGTTCAAGTGATTCTCCTGCCTCAGCTTCATGAGTAGCTGGGATTACAGGCACCCAACACCATTCCTAGCTAATTTTTTTTTTAATTTTTTGTAGAATAGGGTTTCACCATATTGGCCAGGCTGGACTCAATCTCCTGACCTCAAATAATCAACCCACCTAGGCCTCCCAAAGTGCTGGGTTGTCCCATAATTTCTAAAGGGTGAAGCATCATTCACTCATTTAGTCAACAGGTATTTAATGACATGTATGCAATTAACAGATGCAACTTGGTCAATTGGTCAATAATATTAAGTACCAGTTAGATATTCAGCACTGTGATAGTTACTATAGTGGCTTTATCAGCAATGTAAAGTCTTGGCTCTTTCCTAAGCAATTTTGCAATGTAATTGACTATAAAAGAGTGTCATGTATTGTAAGCCAGGCACAATGTGGTTTTGGGCCCACAGATGCTTCAACACTCATGACATTATTAAAAGTCAACCAGTAAGTAAACACACAAACAAAATTTAATCATATTGTGATAAGAGCTAACCAGAAAACACACGAGGAATTTTATATAACAATGTGATGAAGGAATGAGCAGAGAATGCTCAATGTGGAGAAGGAGGCAGCCATAATAGGAGTCAAAGGAAGTGCATTTAGGCAGAACAATAGCAAGTTGTACCTATTTAAGGGCAAAAATGGTGCACAATGAAAGTATGAGTTTAGTATGAAAAAGGGAGAGTGTTACGAAAGTTTGAATAGTAGGAAGAAGTTTATCTGTATCAGAAAACACATCCCATAGAAAAAAATATTTATATTTCATTCTTGAGATGTCTTCTTGGTAATTTAACCAAATAGACAGTTTTTAAAACTAGATTTTATTGTGTATATGTATATCAAGCTAGAGTATGTATATTGTTAACCTAATATAGATAATGGATAGAGATGACAATGATAGAAGAGAGCTACGTATTTTATGGTCAATAAGATTTCAAGATTGCTTGGGGAGAGCCAAAGTTTTATTAGGGCTCAAATTCATCTCAGCAACAGCTACAGCTTGCTGTCCGTCTTTTTTTCTACCCTCTGGTTTATATTCAGCCTTTCTTTGGAGTGCTACCTGTTCTTCTAGTAGCATTTGTTCTTCAGTTCTGCAATTCTCCTATATCCTAACTATAAATATGTTTGTTGTTTAAGATAAATTGATTTTTATGACATATTGGTTTACTTCCACAAGTGGACTAAATATATATATATATATATATATATATATATATATATATATATATTCTTCTATCAACAAAGAAAATATTCATCAATATTTCCTAATTAACAAATGCCAATTTCAGTATTAAGTATATTGGAAAAGTCAGTTAATTAAAGGATACTAGCATATTTGTACATATATAAAATTTTTTAGTTCTAGAAAAGCACATTCTTTTTTCTATAAAATACAATCAAACTGCTAAACAACTATTTAGCTAGATATTTAGTTAAATAGATATTTTAGGAATTTGGTGAAGGGCACCTTGATCCTATACTAATAAAATATAATTCTATTTGAGCATATGCAAGCATTTTATTTTCGTTTACACTTAAGTGGCACATATAGGAGCCATCAATTGTTAGTCAACTAAAGGACTTGATATCAATGGTGTAATAGAAAAAGCATGAGCCTTTCATTCCATTTACACTGATCTACTCATCGCTGACATATCTTACATTTTTCAACCCTATAAATTTCTTCATGCAAATTTCTATCTCTCCTGTCTATACAATTCCTCTTAAACCATTTGGGAGAAGATGAATTCACATCTTTTCCTGTAGAATATCTTTGACAGCTAGAATTGAGCGTTCTGAGGTCAGAACTCATTTGGCACTTTTAATTTTTCGTATCTATTTGAAAGTATGATAATTCTGGTGTTTCTGAGTCACCAGATAGACTGCAAGCCCAGTTGAGGGAGATGAATACTTCACATATTTTGATTTCCATTTGCATGGTTTTCCCAATTATTTAACTTATTTATTGGAAAGATATCTATAGAGCTAAGAAAACAATCAGACATCGTCTGGGGAGAAAATACAAGATTTATTGGGTGAAGTTGTCACATAAATGAGGAGGCAGAAGCCAGAAGAGCTATTTTCCCTACTTTCAAGTCTTCACAAATTTGGCCGGTACTTATGATAATCTCGCAGCAGAAAGAGGATCTCCTTATGTCTATTAAGATGTTTGTTGTGCCCATTAAGAAGTCTTCATTCTCCTCTGAGGGATTTTTGTACAATCCACTGGCTCTCTTCACTGTTTTAGAAACTGACAACAAACTTGCCTATTTTCAAGTGCAAACAACAAATTGTAGACCCAGTCAATTCTGAGCAATTATTGAAAGACTGAATTAATCAAAGGTCAATTTCTTGGCTCTCCATTCTTCAGTAAGTCCAGTCTGTAGCCTTAACCAACACCATTTCTGGACCAGGCCAATATAGCACGATACCTTTTGCATATTATGAACTGAAATATCTGCAGGGTAATTCAAAGATATGTGTTCTCAGTGACTTCAAAGGTTTGGGTCACAGTGTATTATTTATTGCACATTCTTTTTTAATTTGCCTTAGAATTCCCCGTTGGCAATATTTTCAGGTGCCCCTGACATATTGAGGCTGACTGCAAAATAAGTTCCCATTTTCACCTTCTGCCCCTCTGTCTACATTAAGCAGTATTTAACTTTCTCTGGTAAGATGCTTGAAGTTATTCTTTTTTGTTTTCTTTTTCTTTCCTTTTTTCTCTCTTTTTTTTTTTTTTTTTTTTTTTTTTGAGACGGAGTTTCTCTGTTGTTACCCAGGCTAGAGTGCAACTGGCACGATCTCAGCTCACTGCAACCTCTGCCTACCGGGTTCAAGCCATTCTCCTGCCTCAGCCTCCCGAGTAGCTGGGATTACAGGCATGTGCCACCATGCCCGGCTAATTTTGTATTTTTAGTAGAGACGTGGTTTCTCCATGTTGGTAAGGCTGTTCTCGAACTGCTGACCTCAGGTGATCTGCCCGCCTCAGCCTCCCAAAGTGCTGGGATTACAGGCATGAGCCACCGCTCCTGGCCTTAGCTATTCTTATTGTAACAAGATTGTGCTGAAGAAAATTTACAAAGTAGAGAATTAGAAAGATCTCGTCTGAAGTTCTACTACTTGAACACAAATACTGTCTTTCTTATATGTTATCTTCTATCTGTTTGTGAAATGTGCATATATTTTAAAGTAGTGGTTTCAAGCTTATTATATTATTGATTTATAGAGATAACAATATATTTTAAATTAAAAAAATTCTAGCTAATTTTTATGGTCTGAACATCAAATCATATGTCACATAATTACTGTTAGAATTTTGAATAAAACATAGACTTCAAATTTATTCAATTTGTTTTTACTTCAGTTTTCACAATTTCCTATTTCAATATTTTCTTAATATTATCTAACAACATATTGTACTCATTCATATTGTAGTCATCAAATGAAGAAATACCATTTGTCATTAATTTGAAATTCTGATATTTTGTTCTCTATAATAGGTCATTTCCACAGCAAAGTTATTACATTTCTTTGACCATATGGCATTATATTTTTTTATTTTCTTATATAAAACAAAGACGTTAAGGATGCTCAACTGATCTTATTTTATTTTTAAAAATATTTCTACTTTTATAATTTTAATAGGTGATAGTCCATCTTGTACAGCTACATAAACACACGGTTTTTACAAATAGTAAACTTCTTTTTAGAAATAATTGTAAAATATGCAGTTATAAGAAATAATGCAGTCTAGGCACAGTGACTCACACCTCTAATCCCAGCACTTAGGGAGGCAGAGACAGTAGGATTTCTTGAGCCTAGGAGTTTGAGACCTCTCTGGGCAACATGGTGAGACTATGTCTCCACTACACGGAAAAAAAAAAAAAAAAAAACAACAGGAAAGAATGCGAATGCAAAGAGACTCCTCGTGCATTTTATCTAGTTTTCCTCGATGGTAATATCTTACATCACTAGTTCATTATTACAACTAGCTTATTGATATTGGTAAGTCAAGATACAAACATTTCCATCACCTCACGGATCTCTAATACTGCCTTTTATAATCACACTCACCACTCACTGCTCTCCATCCCATACCCACTCCTTAAAAATTGGCAACCACTAATTAGTCCTCCATTTCTAGAAATTTTTTCAGTTCAAAACTGTTATACAAATAAAATTTTTCAGAGACGATTTTATGGATTTTAGGAATTGGCTTTTTTAAATTTTTTCATTCAGCAAAATCCTCTGGAGATTCTCTCAGGTCTACAATGTATCAGTGGTTTGTTTTTATTTGTTGCTGACCAGTATTTCATGAGAATATAACATGGTTAGTTTAACTGTTTGCCATTTGGAGAAAATCAGGGTTGCTTCCAATTTGGGGCTATTATAAAAAATTTTGCTGTAATAGTTTTTGTATAGGTTTCAGTGGGAATATAAATTTTATTTCTTTGGGATAAGTGCCCAGGAGTGTGATTGCTGGAATGTATAATATTGGCATGCTTTGTTTTTTCAAAAAAAAAAAAAAAAAACTGCCAAATTGTTTTCAAGAATAGTTGTACCATTTTACAATCCTAGTAGAACTGCTTTCTTGACCCAGTTTATCCAACTTCTCTTCTGTCCTTGGTATTGTTGTTGTTATTATTATTATTAATTTTAGCCATTCTGGCAGGTGAGAGTGACATATTATTGTGGCTTTAATTTGCATTTCTCCAACAGTTAATAATAATGTTATCTTTACATGTGCTTACTTTCCAGTGTATATTTTCCTTTATATGCTGTCTCTTAATGTGTTTGGTCCATTTTCATTTTTTTTTTAATTTTGCTGTTGAATTGGATGAATTCTTTATATATTCTAGTTACCAGTCCTTTGTTGCACACATGATATTAAAATATTTTCTCCTACTCTAGATCATCCTTTATTCTATTAACATAGTACGCCATATAGCAAACATTTTAATTTTAATGAAATACAAGTTATCAATCTTTCCTTTCATGAATTACTCTTCCGGTCTCAAGTTTAAGAATTTTTTTATCTACCTCTAGATTCCAAAGTTTTCTCTCTTCTTAAATAGCCTTATACTTTCATGGTTTCACATTTTACATTTAAGTTTATGATCTACTTTGAAAATCTTGAATTAATTTTTTAATAAAGTGTGATATTTAGGCTGAAGGGTTTTCATTTGTTTGTTTCTTTTATTGGTTTGTTTCTTTTTTTTTTTTTTCATTTTAACCTATAAAAATGTCCAATTACTCCACAGTCATTTAAAAAGGCAATCCTTCTTCAATTGAATTTCCGCCTTTGTAAAAAATAGTTGAAAATACTGATGTAGGCCAGGGGCTGTGGCTCACGCCTGTGATCTCTGCACTTTGGGAGGCCAAGGAGGGTGGATCACTTGAAGTCAGGAGTTCGAGACCAGCCTGGCCAACATGGTGAAACTCTGTCTCTACTAAAAATACAAAAAATTAACCGATCCCAGTGGTGGGCGCCTGTTATCCCAGCTACTCAGGAGGCTGAGGCAGGAGAATCGTTTGAACCCCGGAGGTGGAGGTTTCAGTGAGCCGAGATTGTGCCGCTGCACTCCAGCCTGGACAACAGAAGCAAAACTACGTCTCGGGAAAAAAAAAAAAAAAAAAAAAAAAGAAAAGAAAGAAAGAAAGAAAATGTTGATGTAGGCCAGGCGCGGTGGCTCAAGCCTGTAACCTCAGCACTTTGGGAGGCCGAGGTGGGCGTATCACAAGGTTCAGGAGATCAAGACCATCCTGGCTAACACGGAGAAACCCCGTCTCTACTAAAAATACAAAAAAATTAGCCATGCGTGGTGGTGGGCACCTGTAGTCTCAGCTACTCGGGAAGCTGAGGCCGGAGAACGGCGTGAACCCAGGAGGCAGAGCTTGCAGTGAGCGGAGATCGCGCCACTGCACTCCAGTCTGGGCGACAGAGCGAGACTCCATCTCAAAAAAAAAAAAAAAAAAAAAAAGTTGATATAAGTATCTTCCTGGATTATATGGTCTGTTCAATTTTACTTTGTTTCTACTCCTCTGCCATTATGACATTCTTGGTTATGACATTCTTGGGGCAAGAAAATACTGTTTGTGGAATACAGTAGAGAAGTGAAGTCAATTAGGAGAAGCAACTGTGTGATTCCTAGCGAAATCAACATTTAGAAAGCAGCCACAGATGCAGGATAATTAAAAAAAAATTAATGCAAGCACACAGACTCAGGGAAGATGCATGTTCCATATAAGTCTGAGAAGACCTTAAAAGTATGTGCCAGGGTAAAAAGTGAATGTATTTCCTTGCACAGAGCAATCCTATAAAGACTGGGATCAGTGGTTGTTTAGACAAATGCCAAGTTTCTAACAAACAGTCATAAAGCATACAAAGAAATATGAAAACATGGCCTATTTAAAGTAACAACAGTAATATTCAGAAACCATCACAGAAGAAACACAGATATTATATTTGCTAGACAAAGAATTTAAATTAACTGTACTAAATATGCTCAAAGAGATAAAGGAAGTCAGGAAAATAACATATGAACATAATTAAAATATCAGCAAACAGCTAAGAATTACAAATAAAGAAATAAATAGAAACTCAAGAACTAAAACAAATAAAAGCTGGGATCTAACAGCAGACTTTAATAGGCAAGTAAAGACAGAGAGAGAAAGAGACAAAGAACTTATCTGAAAAAAGTAATGGCTGAAAACTTCCCAAATTTGAAAAAGAAAAGTCATGGATATACAAATTCAGGAAGCTCAATAAACACTAGTAGAATAAAATTCAAAGTTACTCATAATGAGACACATTATAATCAAATGGTTGAAAAACAAGGAGGGAATTTTAAAAGCAACAAGAAAAAACATGACTTTTTATGTACAAGGCATCCTCAAGTAGACTATCAGAGGATTCCTCTGTGGTAAGCTTGCAGGCCAAGAGAGTAGAATTATATATCTAAAGTGCTGAAAGAAAGAAAGTCAACTGAGAATTAAAATGAAAAGGACATTAGACAGCAACTTAAAGTCATAGAAAAATATAAAATTCTTTGGTTTTAATTTTTTTTTATTCTACTGAATTTTAAAGATAATCATAGAAATAATTTTAAATTTATCTTCATAATATTATAAATGTGTAATACAAACAGTTGTATGCCAATATTTTAGGTAATCTAGAAGTAATGAACATATTCCTAGAAAAACACAACCCATCAAAATTGAATTGTGAAGAAATGGAAAGTATGAATAGATCAATAACACTATCAGTAATCAAAATCAGTAATCAAAAACTTCCAAACAAGGAAAATCCCAGAAACAGATAACTTTGCTGGTAAATTTGACAATACATTTAAAAAATAATTAACACTAATATTTCTCAAAGTCTTTGAAAAGTTGAAAATGAGGTGTTATGGACTAAATTGTGTTTCTTCAAAAATTTATATGCTAAAGTCCTAAACCGCAATGTACCTGTATTGGAGATGTGGCCTTTGGAGGGCAATTAGAGTTCGATGAGGTCATGAGAGTGGGGCCCTGGTGGTGAGATTAATGCTTTATAAGAAGAAAAAGAGAGAAATCACTCTCTCTGTACCA
This sequence comes from Homo sapiens, assembly GCF_000001405.40. NCBI lineage: Eukaryota > Metazoa > Chordata > Mammalia > Primates > Hominidae > Homo > Homo sapiens. Next base: position 83,758,063 of record NC_000003.12, on the reverse strand, counting down.
CATGAGAACACAGCAAGGAGGTGGTCATCTACAAGCTAGGAAGAGGCACCTGGCCAGCACTTTTTCTTGGACTTCTCAGCCTTAGAACTGTGAAAAATAAATGTTTTTTGTTTAAACCACACAAACTAGTATTTTGTCACAGTAGCCTGAAAGGACTTACATGAAAAAAAATACTTCAAATTATTTTATGAGTTCAGTATTACCTTGATACCAAAGCCAGTCAAAGATAGTACAAAAAAAACCCTACAAACCAATATGCCTTTAGAATATTAATATAAATGCTTATTAAAATACTAGGAAACAAAATTCAACATAAATTCATCAGATTGAAAGTATTATAAATGATAACTAAGTTACATTTATTAATGGAATGCAAAGATGGTTCAACATAGTAAAATAAACTTAAATAGCACGTTAATAGAATGAAGAAAAACCCCACATAACCTCCATTAATGCAGAAAAAAAGCATTTGACAAAATTCAACACTTTTGTAATAGAAGCAGTAAATAAACTAAGCATACAAAAACTACATCAATATTATAAATGTTATATATGAAAATCCTTCAGCTAACATTATAGTCAATGGCAAAAATTGAAATATTTTTCTAAAAGATTAGGAACAAAATAAAAATGGCTACTTTTGCCACTTGCATTCATCATAGTACTGTAATTCCCTAGACAGAGAAATTAAGATAGAAAAAATACAAAAAAAGGTCAAAATTGAAAAGAAATAATTAACATTATCTCTGAAATCAGATGGCATAACCTTATATGTAGAGAACCATAATGTTTCCATGAAGACAAGACTATTACAATGAATATGGACATTGAGCAAAATTGCAAGGTATAAGATAAAAAATCAGTTGTGCTTTTACACTCTAAGAACGGACAATTTGAAAAAAGTTTAAGATAACAATTTCATGTACAATGCATCAAAAAGAATAAAATGCTTTGGAATGAATTTAACCAAGGGGGTTGTATTAGTTTGTTTTAACACTGCTAATAAAGATAAACCCAAGACTGGAAACGAAAAAAAGGTTTAATTGGACTTACAGTTTTGCATGGCTGGGAAGACCTCAGAATCATGTCAGGAGGCGAAAGGCACTTCTTATATGGTGGTGGCAAGAGAAAATGAGGAAGATGCAAAAGCAGAAACCCCTGATAAAACCATCAGATGTCATGAGACTTATTCCCTACCACGAGAAAAATATGGGGGAAACCATCCCCAGGATTCAATTTACTTCCCACCGAATCTCTCCCACAATACATGGGAATTATGGGAATGCAATTCAAGATGAGATTTGGGTGGGAACACAGAGCCAAACCATATCATTCCACCCCTGGTCCCTCCAAATCTCATATCCTCACATTTCAAGACCAATCATGCCTTCTCAACAGTCCCCAAAAATCTTAACTAATTTCTGCATTAACCCACAGTCCACAGTCCAAAGTCTTGTCTGAGACAAGGCAAGCCCTTTCCACCTATGAGCCTGTAAAATCAAAGGCATGCTAGTTACTTCCTAGATACAATGGGAATACAGTTTTTAGGTAAATACAGCCATTCCACATGGAAGAAATTGGCCAGAACAAAGGGGATACAGGCCCCATACAAGTCCAAAATCAGCAGAGTAGTCAAATTTTAAAGCTACAAAATGATGTCCTTTGACTCCAGGTCTCACATCCAGGTCATGCTGATGCAAGAGGTTGGTTCCCATGGTCTTTGACAGCTCTGCCTCTGTGGCTTTGCAGTATGCAGCCTCCCTCCCAGCTGTTTTCATGGGCTGGCATTGAGTGTCTGTGGCTTTTCCAGGTGAATGGTGCAAGCTGTCATTGGGTCTATTATTCTGGGGTCTGGAGGATGGTGGCCCTCTTCTCACAGCTCCACTAGGTGGTGCCCAAGTAGGGACTCTGACCCCTACATTTCCCTTCTGCACTGCCCTACTGAAGGTTCTCCATGAGGGCCCTGCCCCTGCAGCAAACTTCTGCCTGGGCATCCAGGTGTTTCTATATGTCTTCTGAAATCTAGGCGGAGGTTCCCAAACCTTAATTCTTCTGTGCACTCGCAGGCTCAACACCATGTGGAAGCTGCCAAGGCTGGGGCTTGCACCCTCTAAAGCCAAGGCCCAAGCTCTACGTTGGCCCTTTTCAGCCATGCCTGGAGTGGCTGGAATGCAGGGCAGTAAGATCCTAGGCTGCACACAGCAAGAGGACCCTGGACCTGACCCATGAAACCATTTTCTCCCAGGCATCCAGGCCTGTGATGGGAGGGGCTGCCATAAAAGCCTCTGAAATGTCCTGGAGATATTTTTTCCATTCTCTTGGGGATTAACATTTGGCTCCTTGTTACTTATGCAAACGTCTGCAGCCAGCTTGAGTTTCTCCTTAGAAAATGGGTTTTTCTTTTCCATCGCATTGTCAAGCTGCAAATTTCCTGAACTTTCATGCTCTGCTTCCCTTATAAAACTGAATGCCTTTAAAAGCACCATGTCACATCTTGAATGCTTTGCTGCTTAGAAATTTCTTTCGCCAGATTCCCTAAATCATCTCTCTCAAGTTCAAAGTTCCACAAATCTCTAGGGCAGGAGTAAAATGCCTCCAGCCTCTTTGCTAAAACATAACACAAGTCATCTTTTCTCCAGTTCCCAATAAGTACATCATCTCCATCTGAGACCACCTCAGGCTGGACCTTGTAGTCCATATCAGTACCAGGCTTTTGGTCAAAGCCATTCAACAAATTTCTAGGAAGTTTCAAACTTTCCCACATGTTTCTGTCTTCCTCTGAGGCCTCCTAACTGTTCCAACCTCTGCCTGTTACCCAGTTCCAAAGTTGCTTCTGCATTTTCTGGTATCTTTGCAGCAACGTCCCACTCTACTGGTATCAATTCATTGTATTAGCCTGTTTTCATGCTGCTGATAAAGACATACCTGAGACTGGGAAAGAAAAGAGGTTTAATTGACTTACAGTTCTACGTGGCTGGGGAGGCCTCAGAATCATGGCAGGAGGAAAAGGCACATCTTACATGGCAGCAGCAAGAGAAAATGAGGAAGATGCAAAAGCAGAAACCCCTAATAAAAACATCAGATCTCATGAGACTTATTCATTACTATGAGAACAGTATGGAAAAAATTGCCTCCATGATTCATTATCTCCCACCAGGTTCCTCCCACAACATGTGGGAATTATGAAAGCAAAATTCAAGATGAGATTTAGGTGGGGATACAGAGCCAAACTATATCAGAGGTAAAATATAAAACACTGTTTAGAAAAATTAAAGACAAAAATAAATGTAAAGACATTCCATGTTCATAAATTGGATGCCTTAGTATTTTTAAGGTATCAATACTACTCAAAGCAATCTACAGATTGAATACAATCACTGTCAAAATTCCAATGATGTTTTGTTGAAAATATGAAAACATTTATTCCAAAGTTTACATGGAATCCCAAAGGACCCCAATAACCAAAACTATATTGAAAAAGAAAAAGTTGGATGTTTCACATTTAATTTTAAAACTTACTATATGGCTTCAGCAATAATTATAAGAACGTGTAGTACTGACATAAAGGCATATAAATATACTAATGACATAAAATAGAGATTCCAGAAATAATGCTTTACATATGTGTCCTATATGCTAATGTTATTCAATGGAAAAAAAATACAGTCTTTTAAACCAATGATTTAGGGGAAAATGTATATCCATATTTAAAATAATAAAGTTGGAATCTTACCCTATGACATATACAGAAATTAACTCAAAATTGATTAAAGACCTAAATTTATGCACTAATATTATAAAATTCTTAACAGAATACTGAGGAAACCTCATGACATTGGATCTAGCAATGATTTCTTGGATATGAAATCATAAGCTCAGGTAAAATTAAAAATATTTGTACATCAGAATATACTCTAAACAGAGTGAAAAAGTAACCCATGGAATTAAAATATTTATAAATTATACAGCTGATGATTAATTGATATCCAGAAAATGAAAAGAACTCCTACAACTTAAAAATATATGTATATCACATTAACTGGACAAAGGCCTTGAATAGATGTTTCTCCAAAGAAGACATATAAATGACTAATAAGCACATGAAAGAGTGACTAATATTACTGATCATTAAGGAAATACAAAAAGAGTCCCCAAAAGATATTATTTTATATCATTACATTGGTCATTATTTTTTAAAAAATAAATAATCACAAGTATTTACATAGATGTGGAGCTGGTAGAAAAGTAAAATATTATAGCTGCTATGGAAAATAGTACGACAATTCCTGAAAAGTAAACACCAGAATCACTGTTAGATCCAGAAATTCCACATTTGGGTAGATACTCAAAGGGATGGAAATCAGGCAATAATAGATATTTGTACACTGTTATTTTTAGCAGGACTATTCATAAGAGCCAAAAGGTGCAAGCAACAAAGTGTTCTTTAAAATGGATGAATGAATAAAATCAATGTGTTATTTACAAATGCTCTGGCTTGAATGTGTCACCTAAAGTTCATTTGTCAACTCATTCCCCAATGCAACAGTGTTGAGGGGTGGACAATTTGAAAGTAATTAGGTCATGAGAGCTCTGCACTCGTGAATGAAGTAATGGTGTTACTTCAGGAGTGAGTTCAGGAGTGAGTGTGGCCACTTTTCTGCTTACCCTTTTGTACTCTCTTGCCCTTCCACCTTCTGCCATGGTGGTCCTCACCAGAAGCTGGCACTTTGATCCTGAACATCCCAGCCTCTAGGACTCTGAGAAACAAATTTATTTTCTTCATGAATAATCCAGTCTATGATACTGTTATTGCAACATAAAATGGACTAAGACAACAAACAATGGAATACAAGATTCAGCATTAAAATGTGAAGGAAATTCTAACACATGTGACAATGCACATAAACTGTGAGACATTCTGCTAAGTGAAGTATGGCAATCACAAAAGGACAAATTTTGTATAACTTTACTTAGGTGAAGTGTTAAAGTTCTCCAGAGAAATAGAACCAGTAGGATGTCCAGTAGGCTAGAGTCCTGGGGAATTTTTGTAGCTCAAGTCTGTCTACAATCTGGAGGCAGAAATCTCTTTACCTCCAGGAACTTTGGTCTTTTTTTTCTTAAGAACTTCAAATGATTGAATGAGGTCCATCTACATTATGAAGGATCATCTTTTTTATTCAAGGCTTAATGATTAAATCTCTTCTAAAAATACCTTCACAACAATCTTTGGTAGAGTGTTATTTGATCAAATATCTAGTTACTGTGTCCCAGTCATGTTGACATATAAAATTAACCATTATAATTCCATGCCTTTGTAGCTTGAAACCCGTATAGAACTCCTTAATACCTAATCTTCAAATAAAAACAGTGGCAGGATCACACTTCTACTTAATATAATATACTATTCTTAAATATGTACTTAATATATACTATACTTAAATAATATACTATACTTAAAACTGTAATGCAAATTTGTAATTCTCACCTAAAAGAGTGACTCAAAAATTCATTCTTGAAGGGTCTGGGCCATAAGTGTTTTGCCTGAATAGGGTTATTGCAGTTTCCTCTTGACTTTAAACACAGGTAATAATGATACTAAGAGGCACCCTAAGGGATTTCTATACATATTTTTTTTCTTATCTCCATTTTAAGGATAGTAGTCTAATTTACCTTGATAGTCAGAATTAATCCAGCCAGCCAGCACAGTTACTCCCTGTTTTCCCTGTTGATTCAGAGGCATGAGGAGCCCAAAATTGCCAGGTAGCCGTCTTAACTTCTAGTTCAATTAAATTATGGTGTATCTTCTGCTAGAACCATTCCTTCCTTTGGAATTAAGCCCTCTAGGCAGCAGAGAATAAGGTCATGGGGACAGAAATCAAATATTTTGCTAGTAGGTCAACAAGGGCAATAGTGACTGGTTCCATTTCCATTTTTAGCCCTTGACTCCTGGACCCATGAATCCTGTGTATTAGAAAAGTAGCATTACATTTTGGATGCTGATTCAAAGACCATAAAATCTCCTGGAGAGCCTTGCCTGAGCCCTACAAGGTATTCTAACCTAGCTGGCATTGTAACTGAGTCTTCAAAAAGCTCTTTTCTTACTCTATAAAGTCAGCTACCTTAGAATAGTGGAGCACATGATAAGACAATTGAATTTTATGAGAATGGGCTCATTACAAGACTTTATTTCCTGTGCAGTAAATGTCTTGATCAGAAGCAATGCTGTTTGGCATACCATAATGGGAGATAAGCATTCTGTAAGCCCATTGATGATAACTTTTGCAGAAGCATTGCATGCAGGAAATGCAAGTCTGTATCCCGAGTAAGCCTCAGTTCCATTCACTAAGAATAACACACTGCTTTATTTATGATAAATCTGTAGCTTTATATCTCTGGACAAAATTGGAACGTTTTAATTCCTAATTTCTTCAAATACTTCTTCAGCTCTCTCATGTTTTCCTCCTTCTGTAATTCCACTGGCATGAATGTTAGATCTTTTGTTATCCTCTTACAAGTTCCTAAGTCTCTATTTATTTTTTAGTCTATTTTTTCTCTAGTATTTGCATTAGTTAATTTTTATTTTTCTATTCTTCAGTTTATCAATTTTTCCTCTTTCCATCCACTGAACTTTTTATATTGATTATTATATTTTTCAGTTCTAAAATATCCATTTGGTTCTTCTTTATATCTTTTATTTTTCTGCTGTGGCTTTCTATTTTCACATTTCTTGCAAAAAGCTATAGTTATGGAAGCATTTTTTAATCATAATCTGCTTTAAAATTATTTAGTCATTTTTCAATCATTATCTGCTTTAAAATTATTGCCAGATTATTCTAGCATTTCTCCCATATTAGTTATGCCATCTATTGTCTTTTTGCATTCAGTTTGAGATTTTCCTAGTTTTTGACATGATACTTCATTTTTTATCAAGACCTGGTTGGATATGCTAATTAACTTGATTTAATCAGTCCACATTGTATACATGTATCAAAAGATCACAATTTATCCTATAAATGTATATAACTATGATTTGTCCGCTTAAATAATGTTAATTTTAGAAGATTTTTAAAAACCTGATTTTAGGCATTATGCTATAAGACTGAATCCTAACTAAGCTTTCTGTTTTAGCTGGCTTTTTCCAATGCCACTTTAGAAGAGCAAAGAGGAACACCATCTTGACAGTCCAGCTGGACATAAAAGTCTAGGCTCACTGCTTGGCCTCTAATTGACACACAAGGTGGTGGAGCTCCTGATTGCTGCTTGGCAAGTGTAGGAATTTTGTCTTCCCATTGAATCTCCACGTTGAGGGTGTCCTAGTTATCTCTATGTGATAGTAAAATACCAGAATATTCAACAAGCCTTCTCTGACACCACTCTGGTGGGTCTATAAGATACCTCATTATACCGTCATGAGGGAGGGGGTCTCAGCTACCCATTTCACTTTCCTGGCATGGGTGGTGGTGGTGCAACTGGCTTTATGGTGTTCTGTTGGAGTAGATTGTTTATCATCTAACAGTTTTTTTTTTTTTTTTTTTATTGCTAAACTGCCCCTTTTTGCCACTTTTGTTGGGGATTTTTTTTTCTCTGTGTCACTTGACATTTCCAGATAACTGGATGCTTCAGCTCTATGTGGAGTATATGAGACAAGAAGAACATCAAAGAAACTTACCAACGCGTTAATATTTTTAATAGACTTCACTTTTTAGAGTAGTCTTAGGTTCAATTACCACATTTTTTTTCTTTTATTTAACAAATAGATTAATTTTCATAAGATTACATTAATTCTTTAATTACATTAACTTATATTTACTTAAATCAAAAGAGCCAGTTTAACAACAGGAGTAATTAAATCAAAATGTAATAATAAATCAGCTTGCTTTTTTGTTTACTTGTGATAATTGGGGTAAATAGTATTTTTAATAGGTTAATTTTATATTTGACCTAATTAGTAGGTCATTTTGGTTTTTAACAATGCGCAGTCTACCAGAAAAGAGAAGCTGTGTATGTTTTAGTTTTTCTCTCTTGCAAAATAGCTTTTATATGCTGCATATTCACTGTGAAATAATAAAGATGAGAACTACAAGGGCAGACCAAAGACTATTTAGCTTCTACGTCGATATTGATGGCAATGTGAAGGTTACTGATATAAACACTTTTTTTTTTCCCTAACTCAGGAGCTAACATTAAAGAAATTTGTATTTCATTATGGTCTTACTGTGCTCAACTTTTTCATAAACTCTGAAGTGCTAAATGCATTGAAACTTAATTAAAATATATCCCCTAGGTATCAAGTTTCAGGAAGGCTGAAGGCTCCTTTAAAAGCCATATTCTATAACAAAAAAGGGTGCAAATGTCATGAAGAGAGAATCAATTTTAAGAGATAAAGAAGGGAGACTATCCCAAGGGCATTAATGTGATTGCTAAGTGCTGCTATACAGATAAGCATAGAATTGGTGAATGACGTTTTCATGTATTACGTCTTGGAAACAACAGAGTTTATAAAATATTAAAGTATTTGAGCTTTGACATTTTAAACAGCAGGTGTATTGGTTTCATCTGTTTTGTAGCCTGTGATCTGATGTCTCAATGGACATTTAGATGCTTATTTTTCTAAAAGAACAGAGTCTGAGATGATATCTCTTTGCATATATAATATCTGCTGTGTAGTTTGTGCTCAATGCACATGCTAGGAAAAATGAGTGAGAATGATATTGCTGTCTTTGCCTTGCTTTTTCCCATGTTTGCTATCCCTACCTATTTCTTCATTAACTCTTAACTGATTTATTGCTAAACTATTTTGTTTACTATTGTCAAATTCATTTTGCTAAAAATCAGACAAATTATTATTATTATTATTATACTTTAAGTTTTAGGGTACATGCACACAACGTGCAGGTTTATTACATATGTATACATGTGCCATGTTGGTGTGCTGCACCCATTAACTCATCACTTAGCATTAGGTATATCTCCTAATGCTATCCCTCCCCCTTCCTCCCACCCCACAACAGTCCCCGGTGTGTGATGTTCCTCTTCCTGTGTCCATGTGTTCTCATTGTTCAATTCCCACCTATGAGTGAGAACATGTGGTGTTTGGTTATGTGTCCTTGCGATAGTTTGCTGAGAATGTTGGTTTCCAGCTTCATCCATGTCCCTACAAAGGACATGAGCTCATCATTTTTTATGGCTGCATAGTATTCCATGGTGTATATGTGCCACATTTTCTTAATCCAGTCTATCATTGTTGGACATTTGGCTTGGTTCCAAGTCTTTGCTATTGTGAATAGTGCTGCAATAAGCATAAGTGTGCATGTGTCTTTATAGCAGCATGATTTATAATCCTTTGGGTATATACCCAGTAATAGGATGGCTGGGTCAAATGGTATTTCTAGTTCTAGATCCCTGAGGAATAGCCACACTGACTTCCACAATGGTTGAACTAGTTTACAGTCCCACCAACAGTGTAAAAGTGTTCCTATTTCTCCACATCCTCTCCAGCACGTGTTGTTTCCTGACTTTTTAATGATCACCATTCTAACTGGTGTTGGATGGTATCTGATTGTGGTTTTGATTTGCATTTCTCTGATGGCCAGTGATGATGAGCATTTTGTCATGTGTCTATTGGCTGCATAAATGTCTTCTTTTGAGAAGTGTCTGTTTATATTCTTCACCCACTTGTTGATGGGGTTGTTTGTTTTTTTTCTTGTAAATTTGTTTGAGTTCTTTGTAGATTCTGGATTTTAGCCCTTTTCAGATGAGTAGATTGCAAAAATTTTCTCCCATTCTGTAGTTTTTTGCTGTGCAGAAACTCTTTAGTTTAATTAGATCCCATTTGTCAATTTTGGCTTTTGTTGTCATTGCTTTTGGTGTTTTTGACATGAAGTCCTTGCCTATGCCTATGTCCTGAATGGTATTGCTTAGGTTTTCTTCTAGGGTTTTTATGGTTTTAGGACTAACATTTCAGTCTTTAATCCACCTTGAATTAATTTTTGTATAAGGTGTAAGGAAGGGATCCAGTTTCAGCTATCTACATATGGCTAGCCAGTTTTCCCAGCACCATTTATTAAATAGGGAATCCTTTCCCCATTGCTTGTTTTTCTCAGGTTTGTCAAAGATCAGATAGTTGTAGATATGCGGCATTATTTCTGAGGGCTCTGTTCTGTTCCATTGGTCTATATCTCTGTTTTGGTACCAGTACCATGCTGTTTTGGTTACTGTAGCCTTGTAGCATAGTTTGAAGTCGGGTAGCGTGATGCCTCCAGCTTTGTTCTTTTCACTTAAGATTGACTTGGTGATGCGGGCTCTTTTTTGGTTCCATATGAACTTTAAAGTAGTTTTTTCCAATTCTGTGAAGAAAGTCATTGGTAGCTTGATGGGGATGGCATTGAATCTATAAATTACGTTGGGCAGTATGGCCATTTTCACGGGATGCCCTCTCTCACCACTCCTATTCAACATACTGTTGGAAGTTCTGGCCAGGGCAATCAGGCAAGAGAAGGAAATAAAGCATATTCAATTAGGAAAAGAGGAAGTCAAATTGTCCCTGTTTGCAGGTGACATGATTTTATATCTAGAAAACCCCATCGTCTCAGCCCAAAATCTCCTTAAGCTGATAGGCAACTTCAGCAAAGTCTCAGGATACAAAATCGATGTGCAAAAATCGCAAGCATTCTTATACACCAATAACAGACAAACAGAGAGCCAAATCATGAGTGAACTCCCATTCACAATTGCTTCAAAGAGAATAAAATACCTAGGAATCCAACTTACAAGGGATGTGAAGGACCTCTTCAAGGAGAACTACAAACCACTGCTCAGGGAAATAAAAGAGGATACAAACAAATGGAAGAACACTCCATGCTCATGGGTAGGAAGAATCAATATCAAACAAATATTTTTATGGTCATATCTCTATTGAAAATATTCAAATGCCTCCCCTTTACCTTTAGAAGAGAATTTAAATTCATCAATTTATTATTCTTCCATTTACATTATAATATGTTTTAAATTTTATTTTCACTAAGATTTATTTGCAGTAATAATGATGACAGTAATAATAATAATAATGGCAGACTATATATAACAGATAACATGTGTCAGGCATCATTCTGAACCATTTGTGCATGTTAAAGTTTTAATCCTCATAAAAATTCAGAGGCAGATACAATTATATTCTCCAATTTATGCAAGAGAAAGCAAAATAAAAGATGACTTCAATAACTTGTCTAAGGTCACAGAGCTAGAGGTTAGCTGAGCTAGATATGAAGAGAGGGAGTGTCACTTCAGAATCTGTGCTACTAACATCTACATTCACATGCCTCTCTAAAGTAAACATTTGAGCTATCCTATTGGTATACTAAAATTCATAGTTTTGAAACAAAATGAAAGATTCTCAATCTTTAATGTTTTTAAGTAAAAAAGTTGTATGAAATTTTGAAAGTCTTGTCAAGATTTACCTTTTTTATAAAACGTTCAGCAATCCAAGTTTGAAGTACTTTCTCCTTCTCAGTCATCATGAATCTGTTTATCTTATGGAAAATATTGTTTTCTAGCTTTCTGTATTTTATGGACTAATGAACTTTAATTGTTCTTTGTTTTCTAGCTTTCTGTATTTTGTGGATTAATGAACTTTAATTTAATACACTGTAATATATTTGAAAATTGGGAAGTTTAGAAGAGAATTTTTAGAAAAGAATTTAAATTCATCAATTTATTATTCTTCCATTTACATTATAATATATTTTTAAATTTTATTTAAAATTTATGACTAGGTCATAATTTTATTATTGTTATGCAACTAGCAGTTGTTAATTTCCCATTCCCCTCCCAAATCTCTGTCTTTTTTTTACCTTTGTAGATTAACACATTATTGTGATTAATTTTTGCCTTTATTTCAAATATTCTGTTTTGTCTTTATTATATCTCTTCATATTCTATAAACTATTAAGATATAATGTTTTAAAAAATTATCAATGCTAATAAGAATGCCATTAATTCATTGACAGAACTATAAATCAGTATTGGATACTAGAAAATTATTTTAGCAAAATATCATTGGGGCCCTTGTTGTGTTATATAATTTATACTGCTAATTCAAAATTTTGTTTATTCTCTTAATCCAGTTCTGGAACATTATTATCAAGATATAGGACATACAGAAGAATTTATATGTAGACTTGTACATTGTAGTATTATTTCTAATAGTGGAAAATTTAAAACACTATAATATTGAGCTAAAAAATAACAGAGGTATTCCTCATTCTTATTAATATTCTCTCTTTAAAAACATTACTTACGAATAGTTATATATGTAAAAATTAACTATAGTTTCTAAACAAAAGTTAGGTAAGGCATTTATGATACACAATAAGTAATTCTGAATATTACACAGACATAAAATAGAACAAGACATGTCTTTTGTGGGAACATGGATGGAGTTGGAGGCTATCATCCTTAGCACACTGTATTAGTACATTTTCATACTGATATGAAGAAATACATGAGACTGGGCAATTTATAAAGAAAAAGAGGTTTAATGGACTCACAGTTCCACATGGCTGAGGAGGCCTCACAGTCATGTTAAAAAGTGAAGGAGGAGCAATGGCACATCTTACATGGCAGCAGGCAAGTGAACTCATCTTTATAAAACCATCAGATATTGTGAGACTAATTCACTATCACGGGAGCAGGATGGGGAAAACTCACTCCCATAATTCAATTACCTTCCACTGGGTTCCTCCCATGACATGTGGGGATTATGGGAGTTACAATTCAATATGAGATTTGAGTGGGGACACAGCCAACCCATATCGCAAATTAGCACAGCAACAGAAAACCAAATACCACAAGTTCTTACTTATAAGTAGATGCTGAATGACAAGGAAGGAAATAATAGACACTGGGGTTTATTTCAGGAGGGAGGTTGGGGAGAGGGAGAGGAGTGGAAAAGATAATTATGGAGTAGTGAGATTAATACCTGGGTGATGTAATATTATGTAACTGGTAACAAACTCCTGTGACACATGTTTATTTATGTAACAAATCTTCACATGTACCCCCAAACCTAAAATAAAAATTTTAAAAATATATAAATAAAAATAAACATGTGCATAGAACAATGATTAAAAGCCATACCCATTAATAAATTGTCTTTTCCACAGGATTATAGTTCAAACAAAGCAATAATGATATCTTCATTGCTAAAACCTGGGAGTCATTTTTCACATTTCATCTTATTTACTATCTCTCAATTGTTAAATAGTTTTCTTCATTTTCTCCTTCTTGAAATATCTCTAAATTGTAATACTTAGACAATTGACTTGTTTGTTGCTTTCTTTAATCATTATTTTTATTCTTGCATGACTGATTCTCTTTCTCTGCCAAAAGTTTAAATGTCTAATGTTAAAAGCAAATATTCTCAGTAGTTTTTCCTTCTCCTTCAGTATAATTATTCTGAATTATCTCATTCATACCAATTATTCATATGTACAATCTCCTCTGTACTCACTCTCCAATTATTGTTGATTAAAAGTCTAGAACTTCCTATTCATATCATGATCTATATACACAGCTACTTGTTCTATCTCCTAACCAAAGTTCCCACAGACATGTAAAATTGAATATATTCCATACTCAGTTTATCATCTCACCAAATATTTTTCTCCTGTAATATAGCCTGTATTGAAGAATAAATGTGAAAGAACAAAATTTACAACTTCCTTTTACTTTCTCCTATATTCAACCATAATTCAAATGTTCCTGATTCTCTCTCAAATATTGATTCTTCCTTCCTTTCTATCATTGTGTTTTTATATTTAGCATATTTTATTATTTCTTCTAAATTAGCCATTTAGAGTTTTACCTTAAAACAGGTGTTTTCAGGAACACTGACTATTACATTCCCTGTGGAGTTAAGAAATAAATTGTAAAAATCCAGCAACTATGACTTAACATGTAAACTTGGTTTTTCAGCCACAGTGAACAAGGGAAGCAACTGAGGGACCATTTGCCTTGTTAATGACAGAACTCAGTAGATTTCCCATTGTTCTCCACTGGGCTCCTAAGTCTCATTCAGACAGGAGACCTGTAGGGAAGATACTCAGCTTGGCTGAGAACAGCACAGTAGTAATTGGAGGGAGGAGAAAAGTAATACATCTTTGTGTTATTGGCCCTTGATTTCTGGAATATTAATAAATTGACTCCTTAATTGACTAATGAATATCGTTTCTCATGCCTCTGGTCCTTATGCCTTCCTGATATGTTTCCTTATTTATTCTCTGTTCAATTTCAAAGCTATCCACTGATCTAATTGGTACTTAGATAATAGGCTACATTCTCCTTCCTCAAAAATGTAATTGTATATTGATTTCAATTATTCATGTATGACTCTCTGAAGCAACACAGAATATATGTACCCTCTTATCTATGAAGAACATTTTGAATGGCATCAGTGCAGTGATCAAATTACCCTCTAAATCTTTTTTCAATTAAATATGATAAGTTTCTCAAATCTTCTTCATGTTTTTCTACAGCCAGATCTCCTTATCTGGAAATATTCCACTCAGTCATTGTCCCTTTCCATATACATATGAAATACTAAAAATTGCTTGAATACCATCTTCGAAATATCAGGTAAAAAGAACAGATATGGGGATATGGAGCCACACAAAACAGTCAAGATTTTAGAACTAAACAATCAAAGAAGATGCTGAAGGTCAATTAAGGAAGGACACATTTGGGGAACTTACTAATTCTTAAAAGCATTACACTTCTATGAAAGGAAACTTCGGTGGGGATTATCAGTATCTGGGAATTCTCCATTAAAAAAAAAAGTGAGAGATGAACTAGACCTTGAAAATGAGCAGAGTTTGTAAGTGACCTAAAGTGCTGTTACATACTTTAACATAAGGAGATATATTCATTCCAAATAAAATCATCCTACTCAATGTCCCTTCTTTTTGCTGTTTGTACAAGTGAGGGTGATGAGGAGAGTGTGAATTGGCATGTGGCGGCACAGCAGGTGCTAAACAAACACAACACATTGTGCTCTTGCACTAAATATCATGAAGAAACACCTTCTCCTACTTTCCATATGCATATAAATGTATTAAATTATGGATTAGCTCCTAAAATAGATTAAGTTCTAAATTTTAAGTACGTGCAAGTATATTTATATATACATACATACATTCATGTACAGGCTTTATTTTTAATAAAGTTATCAGTATGGATTTGCACAGGCCTGTGAAATTTTTAAAGTAGGATTTATAGTAATTAGGTAATTAGCCAAATAAATCTTTCTGAAAATTATTGGATGGCATAAAGTTTCCTGTGATATATTACAAAAAGGATATATACATGAATACTTCAATTTTTAAAGAGTAGATGCAGGATACAAAATACATAAAAATCCTTGCATTTTACTTAAAAAAATCAATGAGCCCAAGGAAATTCAATGACAAAATACAAACATAGTTTCCATTATTCTAGAATTAGTATAAAAGTCTCAGAGATATAACATATTGGTTAAATGACAAGGATATTTGGGTTTATTATTAGTAAAAACTCATAAAGCAAGAAATATACTACAGATAATACAATCATCTTTTGAATACAGAGATGCTTAGAAATGTTCTTAACTTCCAAAGTTGAATTATTTACATAGAAACTATCAGGACAATCCAAGACAACTTTTAAAATTATCCCATGAATTAATTGCTGGAGTTTGTTTCATTCAGATACTGCTCACAGCACATTGGGGATTCTCATATCTCTGGATTATAAGAAAGCCTCTGCCATTTCAGTCCTCTCCTGCTGCTTCATGTGTGCACACGTTTCCAGAATGAAAGTGCCATAAAGGCTGAAAATTATGGAGCAAGAGTGAAAGTACATGATCGTCATCACAAGGAGAATTAAGTCTTTTTCTCACTGACATTTAGACAATATGAACTTCAATATACTCTATGGAAAAGATGGCAATTTCTTGATTGATGAGAAGTTCGTGATGTGGAAATAACTGTGAAAAGCTCTGACCAATAATCCCTATATGCTGCTTTTTTTCACAGTTAATGAAAGTTCAAAACCAGCCATGGTAAAGTGATTGCAGCGTGATTCTTAGATGAAGGGAAGAACTTTAGTGAATGTCTTTAATAAGTGAATTTTCCTGCCAAATTGTTGTAATAGTGCTTTTAAGTTTTACATGATATATTTGCTGAACACTAAAATACTATTTTCTTCATTCATTATTGATTTATGTATTGATTAATTGCCTTCTCACCACCACCCAGTATTTAGAATTAAATAATGTATGTTATTTGTTGGCAATGATATTCTTGGTAAATTAAATCTAGCCATAATTTTTAAAAATCTAATCTGTTTTAATATTTTAAATTCCCCTTTTTCAAGAATTTAGCCAATACTCATACAAATAAATTTTATGTATTTCACTTTTTCTGTATTTTTAATTTTTCCCTCCCTCCCTCCTTTCCTTCCTTCCTTCCTTTCTTCCTTCCTTCCTTCCTTTCTTCCTTCCTTCCTTTCTTCCTTCCTTCCTTCCTTCCCTCCCTCCCTCCCTTCCTCCCTTTTTCTTTTTTCTTCTTTCTCTTTTTTATTTCTTCTCTTTTTTTGGAGAGACAGTTTTACTTTGTTGCCCAGGCTGGAGTACAGTGGCATGGTTATGGCTCACTGCAGCTTCCAACTCCTGGACTCAAATAACCCTCCAGCCTCAGCCTCCCTAACAGCTGAGAATACACATATGAACCACCACGCCTAGCTAATTTTTTAGTGTTTGTAGAGATGAGGCCATAATATGTTGCGTGTCTCGTCTCAAACTCCTAGGCTCGAGTGATTTTCCTGCCTCAGCTTCCCAAAGTGCTGGGATTACTGATGTGAGTCACTGGGCCTGGTCTTTGTATTTCTAAAAGAATAAGGACTAATAAGACATTAAAAATAGCTATAAACACTCAGGCTCAGTAATTTTTTTCAGCCACTGAATTCAGTGCAGTAGGAGCTAATAAACAGTTCATTGCATCGTGGCCAGAATCATGATACAGAGTTTTAATTGTTGGATATAATTTTGGGAATATCCACAATGTACATTTCTAGTATGTTCTAAAAGTTTCAGGTGAAGAAATTTAGCACTTTGGAATGCAGATTTTCTTATTCTAAGAAAGGATATTATCAGTGGAGATTAGTGGTCGAGGCTAGTTCAAAAATACTATTTACCCTGATATAATAGAAGAATAGTAATGATTGCAACCTTTTGGTTATTGCTAATTATAGTTCTTGGCCTGGTCTCTATGGAAAGTATATTTAGAATCTTATCAGAGAATGTAAGATTGTTTTACCCCAACTAAGCAGTGTACCACAGAGTAGGACAGAGAATCCAGGATGACAGCTTCCCCAGGGTGACATCTTATAGGTGAACAGAGATTAGCCAAGCACAGTATTGGGATGGCAAAGAGAAGGCTTGCACAAGATTACTTCTTATGTCTTATTTATCAATCACTCTCATGAAAAAGGTAAATAAGTCTGTAACTAGAAATTGTTAAATTTTACTGTGTAAAATTTCCAGGGATCCCCTGCTGCTATTTGGCTGCCTGAAACTTTATTGTTTAGATCTAGACTTTTCAAGAGACTGCCTCATATTCCAAAATATCTACTTCTTGTTCATTTTTCTATAATAAAAACTGCCATTCATTTAGAGAAAATGCTTCAAGGTAGTGTTTTGAGAAGAGTCTAATAAAATAAATTTACAAAGACTAATAATATAATATTGCACTTCTCACGCATTAGGCCACATTTGCCTTATAATTTCATAGTGGGGTTCTGACTTGTAGAAGGACATTGTGAGCAGTGCTGAAATTGTACCATGAATATATGTAGCTTAATTATGTGTAAGGCCCATAATGATCTCAGAGTAATATAGGATTATGCTTTCTAAAATAAAGAATGAGAAAGAATTCCATACTAATTATTATTTTAATGTTAATTGATAGAAATCTGTATGCCTGGAAACATAATGCCTGTGGATACAAAATAGCATGGTAGCTTGGTTATCTCGAGTAAAAATGCAACCAAATATAAAAATAATAGAAATTAAAGTGCTTATGTATAATTTCTAAACAATATTATGGAATTAATAGAAGATAAAAACATTCTATTTAATATATTTATAGCATATAATCATTACTCACATTAAGACTATACAATTTTTTGGATAATAATTCTGCATTTTAGAATTATATCATATTCTCCAACTTTTTGGGTGGGAGAGTAACATCTATTGTTTTATTTAATAATCACTTTCCTTGAATTTATTAAAACATTAATTAACTTAGTTGAGGATGTATCTGTTAACTAATACATTAATGGAGCATAAGCCCTACGAGAATTACTGCCCCAGTTAGAAATAAAAATAATAATTAAGAAATATTCCTTGTCTTCATAAGCTACTTATGAAATAATGGTTAAAATTTACAAAGTGCTTATGAGCGTTCTGCACTATTCTGTGTGCTTTAACATATTAAATTATGTAATCTTCACAACAACCCTGCCTGATATATTTCATTATTATATCCATTTTACAAATGAGAAAGTTGAGGTACAGAGTAGTCTAGTTACTTGGTCAATATTACCCCTCTGGTAGGCTGGTAAGTGGTAAAGATAGAAGTACACATTTTCTTTTTCTTTACCATATATATGTATATAACTATATATAGTTATATTTATATATATAGTAATATATATAGTTATATATAGTTATATATATAGTTTTATATAGTTACATATAGTTATATATATATTTACCTAGTTATATATTTACATATATTTATATATAGTTATATATATATTATATATATACATATATATGTATATGTATATGTATATGTATATGTATATGTATATATATTTTGAGATGGACTCTCCGTCTGTCACCCAGGCTGGAGTGCAGTGGTGTGATCTCAGCTCACTTCAACCTCCACCTCCAGGGCTCAAGTGATTCTCCCACCTCAGCCTCCTGAATAGCTGGGACTACAGGTGCACACCACCACGCCCGGCTAATTTTTGTATTTTTTAATAGAGACAGGGTTTCACCATGTTGACCAGGCTGGTCTCGAACGCCTGACCTCAGGTGATCCACTTGTCTTGGCCTCCCAAAGTGCTGGGATTACAGGCATCAGCCACAGCGCCCAGCCCACCAAAGCTATTTTTTCATTTCCAGGCACAGAAAAATATCCAGGATACTTTAGAAGCCATTTGTCTTAAAAAGGTGATCTATTTTAAGGCATAGTGTCCTTAAACACTTAAACAAAGAAAAGAAATATGTAATCACAGTGCTTTGTAATAAATTTTAGATTAAATAATATGTCTATGGAAAAAATAAGAGACACATGGTACTTTGATAACAATGACATGGCTAAATATTAATTTAAATATTTATTAAGGAAGGGCAATCACATGATTTTTCTAAAGTTTGGGAAATGAAGAAAACAGTGATAACTTGCAGCAGTTCAAAGAGAAATTAATGACATGACCAAATTAGTGGCAAGTGCTAGGAGAAAAATAGGGCATTTTAGAAGATAGAATCCGCATGTGGTTTGTTAGGTATTGCAGTGAAAAAAGGAAATGGGTCAGTGAATCATGAAACATAAGCTTCCGTGTTAGGCAATGGGGTAGTTGCTGCAAATAATCGCTCCTTTCGACAGGCTGAGGGAAGAAACACAAGCACTATCAAATTTGGTTTGGAGGACAAATGGGCTCAGATACAGGCACATTGATTTGAGTTATAATATAGAGCATTTTTCTATATGTCAAAGCACAGAGACAGGTAGGAGGATTCTGCTGAGTACTAGACTATAATGTGATTTTAAATTAAATTATAATTTTAAAAAATCAAATCAAAGTATATCAGATGTAGGTAATTTCATTAAAGTTCTTACATTTATGAAAGAAAATGAAGGATTATTGGTTGTACACTTCAAACATAAATCTTTGTACTTTTTAAAAGATTAATGTATGGAATGTGGCATGAAAACATTTTTAAATAAACATTAGAACAAACTAGAATTCTATTGGTCTTCTGGAAAAACAAAAATACTTCTATCTGTTTAACTATATTGAGTAGCCATATTTGTAGAAAACTATAGTACAAATAAATTAATATATTTTAAGATGAATATAAATTAGACTTAGGAATTAGAAAATAAAGTATTTTCTCCTGCTGTGTTAGCCAGTGATTATTTATTGAGAACAAGGGTATTCCATGGTATTGAAGTTGGCCCAATTTTGCCTGTATAGAGTTTGTTATAAACAAATACATTTGTTTCTTCTTCATCGAAAAAATAAAAATAAAAATCTTTCAGGGAGCAAACATGTTGTCTCTGATTAAATCCATTTTCTTCTCATGGTTTTAGAACTAAGCACTTTTCTGATATTTGTGGCAAGACACAATTAGCAGCATCAATGTGCGGTTCGTATGTAGCTTTGGCCTGTATTTTGGATTCACTAAGTTAAAAGTAGAGAGCTTAAGAAAGTACTGCCAGATATGCATATCTGATAGTTGTTCTTTGATAAGTGTGGGCAGAATGAGTGTTGTAAAAAGGAAAGAAAACTAATAGGTGGTGACAAAGTCTTTGATTCTATTATTGGATGCTTATTGGAATAGTTATCACGAGAAATGTTTAACACTTTCTAGAAGCCTGAGAAAGTTCTTGGATATCTGTTTATTGCAGTCTTATAGCATATATCTAAATGAATTTAATTCAAAATATATTTCTTCAATGCCATTTGTGTGATCAATTTTTACCAGGAGCTGAAGATATCCTTCCCCTTCCCTGCCCACAATACCACAGTGTGTTTGAGATATATTTTCAACAGTTTGTAAAATATATTTTTATAGTTTAATAATCAGAAATTGCAGGCTCACAGTTTAGCTAAAAGTTTTCTTATTTATGCATACAGTAATTAACCATTAAACAAAATTGAGTTATAAACAAATCCTTAAAATAAAACGTAATCGTACAAAGACATGAGGAGACACTGTTTGCGGGTAGAGAATCTCTGTTTTGGATGAGGTATAATTTTGGAAAATACAAGCAATGGATATATGACATTGTAAATGTAATCAATGCCACTGGATTGTATGCTTACAATGTTTAAAATGGAAAATTTATGTTATATGTATTTTACCACAATAAAAAAATTAAAAACAATAATTCAGCTGTAAAGATAAAAGGTTTTCTTATTTTAATATTACAATAGACAACAAATCAACAAACATAAATTACTACTGGAGAATATATACACTAATAAATATAAGAATGTGAATGAATAATATATAATGCCATGTTATAATAAAATAATATAATATTAGGTTTATCATAATTTAAAAGTTGAAAACATATACCTTAATTTTATTCTAAAATTAGTGTTTGTACATGATTTTGATATTGGCTAAGGCATCCAAATATTACACATGTGTAGACAAAGACCTCTACGTAATATTTGGTTCTCTGAAATTATCTATATGAGACATCTCTGAAAAATAAATATATTTTCAATAGAGGTTCAGTGAACAAAATAGTTAATATCAATAAAGTATGAGTTCTTTACTGTGAATTTGTTAACACAAAATGAGAAAGTTGTTCAATAACATGATAAATATAACCTTAATGCAGGTAGGATTAAATAAAATATCCAATTAGTTGGATTTTAGTGGCTTTCAAAAAGAATTTTCTTGTGTACTGTAGAAAATGCTGCAAAAATCGAATACCTTTGAATTATGTATTATGTGCTATTGTAGGTTTAAATTTTAGCGTGAAAGAAAGAGAATATCATCGAATTTGTGTTTGATCAGATCATTCTATTGATCTTATAAATGATAACATTCCATTTGGCAGATGAAATTGAAAATGAATGTCGAAATGATGCATTTTATTTTCAATAAAAGTAGTTATTAAGGCTGGAAGTCAGAACGTTACCAGCTACCATTTCCTAAGAGCTATACTACAGATATTGAAAGGAAATTTCGCATTACCACACTCTGCACAGTATTTAAAACAAGAAAGATATTTGATTTAAAGACATTCATATAATAATACAAATAGACATATTTGTTCACCAGTACATAGTTTACCATGTTTATCCTGGCATACTAAGCTTAGTTAAAGGTATACTCATGTTTCAATTTTCACTTGTAAAGTCAGGGAAAAATAATTCTATGAGACAGTGACAATTGTGCCAAGACAGCTTTTCTACTCTGCACTACACTTACCCTACTTTGTCATTCTTTTACTTTGTAGTGACTGCAAAGTAAGGGATCAAATAAATTATGCAATCAATTAAAGCCCAATACAGATGCATTTGTATGTGTCCTCTGCAGCTCTTCCAAATATATTGTTAATAAGAGTTGTATTCATAATTAAGAAAAATAGTAGATTCCCAAGACATGAAATTGCAGCATACTTACTTGTTATTGTATTGTTAAGTTATATCTTTCTTACAAGTCATTTGGAAACAAAGTGAGAGGAAAACAAATTGTAATAATCATTTCGGGTGTATATTTTTCTTTCCAGAGATAGTTTTCATAATTTAGGCACAGCAAACTGTGCAGGACATTTTTGAAGTCATATAACAATAATTTGAAAAGAATTTAATTTTGCCACACTCAAAAGGTGGCATATTTGGTTAAGATGGAATGCGAAACTACATACGATTTTTGTGCATTTATCATTAGCATTACTAAGATTTAATTTAAGAAAATCTGAAAAGGTATTTTCCTGTTTACCTAACATGATTATGCGATCAATTAAAGCCCAGTACAGATGCATAGTATCTGTGGACTACTGTAGGAAAAAATTTTAACCTCACCAAAAGAGACGTCTGGCTTTTGCTCCTCTTTTCTGAGAGTTAATCTTTAAGTCCTTTGAATATCCTGCCTGATAAGAGTGGCTTTGTTTTCCTGTGGGGATTGGGTCATGTCTAATAGTCTATGCTAACAATAATTTATAGTGGAACCTTTGAGCCGCAAGGTATCAGCTTAACCTCTGGAGGGGCTGGAGGCTAAGGTCAGCTGCATGGGTAGTGAGCCATTTCTACAAGACCAAATCCTAATTTTAAAAAACCCTGGAAAAAAGAAGGCTTAGGTGAGCTTCCTGTGTTGGCCATGTTCCGTGCATATTGCTACACGTCATTGCTGAGAGCAGTTGGTGTTGTCCATGACGTCACTGGAAGAGTACTACTGGGAGCTTCATATTTGGAAACCTCCTGCACTCTTCCCCATTCATCTCTGTTTGTGGCTGATTTTAATGGTATATTTTAAATAGTCACTGTGTTTACAATGGCTTTCAGTGAGTTCTGTGAGTCTTAGTGAATTATTACACTGGACAGTGCTCTTGGGGACTCCCAAAATTGCAGTTCATATAAGAAATAAGGGTGGCTTGTACATTCCAAAATTTTGCAAAATTAAATATTTATCACTTCAAAATTTGGATTTAGGTGTAGGGCAGTAGTTGAGGACCAGTTTCTAGGACCCCAATGTGGGTCTAGGCAAATAGAGACATTGCCAAAACGTGAAGCTTGACAACATAAGATTGTCGTAAAGATCATATGAGGCCGGGCGCGGTGGCTCAAGCCTGTAATCCCAACACGAGGCGGCGGATCACGAGGTCAGGAGATCGAGACCATCCTGGCTAACACGGTGAAACCCCGTCTCTACTAAAAATACAAAAAATTAGCCGGGCGCGGTGGCGGGCTCCTGTAGTCCCAGCTACTCGGGAGGCTGAGGCAGGAGAATGGCGTGAACCCGGGAGGCGGAGCTTGCAGTGAGCTGAGATCACGCCACTGCACTCCAGCCTGGGTGACAGAGCGAGACTCCGTCTCAAAAAAAAAAAAAAAAAAAAAATTATATGAATTAATGTTTGAAAGTACTTAGAATAGCGCCCGAAGTAGATTAAGCACCATAAAAATGTTAGCTTTTATGGTCTTCATTCGACATATAGAAAATCCTTTAAATATGACTTGTATATAGCAAGTAGTAAAGAAATGTATACACAATCAGTCATTGTTATAATCTTAAGAGTTTTTTTTCATTGACTTTTGGCCACTTGCCATAGGGTCTCCATTTATCAGTTTCCATTCACTGTTTTAATGAAGAGATTGGGTTTCCAGTACAAAATTCTTTGTTCTAGAATCTATTTGCATGTGGATGTAATAAAGTTTTTGCTATTGAACCTGTCAGGCATAGATCTGAGTTTATATATTTTCTCAAATCTTTTCCTGATGTAATGATCCAAACGTGAGCGTTTTCAATTGTTATTTTCTGTGTTACCTCTGAATAGTTTCAGAAAATTTTATTTTTATTCTTGTAAAATGGCATATTGATTTAATCTATAATCAAAAGTAATATATTCATAAGATTTCTCCGTCAAATTTGTTAATAGTTTTAATATTCTTGAGGATCTTTAAGTGATAATTGAATTTATTACCTGAAACTCTAATTATGCCTTTTGAACTCTGATTTATAAGTATCTTATGTCTGCTAACTTTCATTTGTTTTAAACAATTCTTCCCGGTGGCTCATGCCTGTAATCCCAGCACTTTGGGATGCCAAGGCAGGTGGATCACCTAAGGTCAGTAGTTTGAGACCAGCCTGGCCAACATGGTGAAACCCCATCTCTACTAAAAATACAAAAATTAGGTGGGCATGATGGTGGGTGCCTGAAGTCCCAGCTACTTGGGAGGCTGAGGAAGGAGAATTGCTTCAACCCAGGAGATGGAGCTTGCAGCGAGCCGAAATCATTCCACTGCACTCCAGCCTGGACTACAGAATGAGATTCTATCTCAAAAAAAAATCGTTTCATAGTTTTATTTTCTAATGATAGGATCACTAATGGTCATTAGCTTTTTCTCATGCTTTTAAGAAAACATTTTTATTATCAATATAAATTATATATTTACCTTATTACAAAATAACATTTTAGTATTTAAGGTGCATTACCCCTGAAAATAGACAAAATACCAAGTGTTAGTATATTTCTCGCCTTCTTGTCAATTTTTTAAACATATTTTTTCTTTCTTAAGCAACAGCCAGTATATATGAATTTCATGAAACTAATCCACCACTTAATTACTGTCATTTTATATTAGTTTGCTTATATCTGAAAAAAGTTTTTAATATGTTTTGCTTATAAGACAGATAAAAATATAATGCTTCTCATAAAGAAAACATATATTCATTAGATATTAATAAGGAATTATCAGCAAATTAATCTCAAAAGATGGTTTATAGTTTGTGTTTCCTGTACTAAGAGAGGGTCCTTAAAATTTTCACATAAATATGTTTTCACCTATGTTTTAAGTCAGGAGTGGGCAAACTTCTTTTGTAAGGGCACGATAGTAAATATTTCAGGCTTCTGGTCCTTATACTCTCTTTTGCAACGACTTAATTCTGACATTGTAGCACAAAAGCAGCCATAGGAAATATATAAATAAATAAATTGCTGTAGTAGCTTATTTTAAAAAACAGATGGCAAGCTTATGAACTACAGTTTGCCAAACCCTGTTCCAGGTTATTAATACATAAATGGATAAAATTAGTAAGCAGATTGAAGTTATCTGATATGATACCAAACTATTAATAAATGTCATCATTTCTGTTGCTAAAATTTGATATTCACATCATAATAAAATCCATCTAACATAACATTAGATTATTTAATATTCATTTATATAAGCATTGACTAATAAATTGTTTTGTGTTTTGTTTGTTTTTGCAAATTCAAGAGTAGAGAAAAAGTATCAAAAATTAAATAAAGCTATTTAGGGGCATATGGAACAATATCATATTCTAACATAAATGTAGTTGGAGTCTGAAATAGTGAGAATACATAGGATATATATAGTGGAGACAATATTTGAAGAAATAATGACTGCAATTTTTACAAATGTAATGATAGATACAAATTTACAGATCCAATAAGCCTAACAAAACACTTGAAGAGTTTAAACTAAGAAAATGAAAATCACTGAGGCTTATCATCAAACCACTGTAAACCCAAGATAAAGAGAAAATCAAGATAAATATTAAAAGCAACTAGAGAAAAACAGCACATTATGTCTAGAAGAATATCAATTTGAATGATTATTGATTCTTATTAGAAACAATGAAAGTCTGAAGACAGTGGAATGATATATTCTTAAAGTGCCACAAAAATCAGTTTCTACATCCACTATGAATATCTTTCAAAAATGAAATTGAGATAAAGATGTTTTTAGATAAAAGAAACAAGTAATCTTTTATCAGAAAACCTTTACTGTAAATGTCCTTAAAATAAAGGACAATAATATCAAATGGAAACATTTTAATCTGAAAAAATAAATAAAATTAAAGGTAAATTTGTGAATAAAACAATATATTTTTATCTTAATAATTTTAACAACATTTGATTGTTTAAAGGCAGAATAAAAATGCCTTATGGAGCGTAAAATTTATGTACTTATGACATATATGTATATCTCTCCTAAGTATATGTAAGATATATATATATATCTCCTAAATATACACGAGAGATATATATATCTCCTAAGTGTATATGAGATATATATGTCTCATAAGTATGTAAGATATATATTGTATATGATATATATTATGAGTATGTATATATTGTTTAAAGGCAGAATAAAAATGTCTTGTGGAGCTTAAAACTTATGTACTTATGATATATATATGTATCTCATAAGTATATATGAGATATGTAAATATCTCATAAGTATATATGAGATATGTAAATATCTCATAAGTATATATGAGATATGTAAATGTCTAATGTATATCTCATAAGTATGTGATATATATATTTCATAAGAATATATACATGCACACACAAATATCTTACATCTAGAGTATGAAAGATTGGAAGGGGATGAATTATTATGTATAAGATTTATATATTTTTTATCAGGTATAAAAATGTTATTCTTAGTAGATTATGAAAATTGATGGAGTTATATTTTAATCCCTAGTATACTCACTAAAAATGTATGCAAATAAATTCATCTAAAAAATTATTAGAGAACCTAAAATAAAAATCTAAAAATATTCAAGTAATCCCAAAGAAGGTAAGAAAAGAGGCATAGAAATAATAAGAAAGATGATATACATAAATTAAAATTCTACGATTCTATCCAAAGTAATTGATATTGGCATTAAATATTAATGAATTTAACACACTAATTAAATGGAAGATATTTAATCTTTAATGTTTATGATGCATTACTTACAAAGTGGAGAAAAATACTTTGACAAATGATATATTTTAAATAAATAGACATAGATATGTTGAAGATAATTATATAGAAAAAAACATCATGTCAAAGGAATAAAAGGAATAAATAGGCTGTGTTTTCTACATTCCTATAAAAAAGTAGGTATCATGAGAAATATGAAAAGAAAAAAATGGAAATATTTCATAATGATAAAAGATTATTCAGAAGATAAAAAATTGAAAATGTTTATGTACAGAAGAGCTTTCAAATACATAAAAGTAAATTGATAGGCATAGAAAGAGAAGTAGAATATATCATAAGCAGAATGTGTGACAGTAAACTTATCTTTCAGAAACTGACAAAAGCAACTAAAAAAAAATCAGCAATTACATAGACTTGAAAAACTCCTCCCAATGACCTTGAATTAATTGTACTATAGAACACTGAATTTAACAACTTCATAATATGAATTATTTTCAACTGCACTTGTCACATGTACCAATATATACTATTTGATGGTACTTAAAACACGTTAAATAATTTAAAAGTTCTAATATTATACAAAACTAGTTTTGCAAGAAAATATACTTAGTAGTCAATAACTTATATTTAAAAATACATATTCTGGGATGTTTAAGAATACATTTATGAATGATTCAAGATCAAAGAAGAATCACACATGCACACAAAGAGCAAAAAAAATCTTGTACTAGAAAGTGTAACACGCAAAAAACAGTGTGACACTGCCACAAAAATAGTTGGAGATAAATCTATAGCTGTACATTTTATACAAGAGAAAAATAAAAGCCTAAGTGATTATGGTTCCAAAATAAGAAGCTAAAAAAAGAGTCAAATGAAATGAAGTAATAATAATTGGGTGAATGACCGTCATACAGAAGTGATATCAATGGCAAAAACAGAGTATTAATAAAGCCAAAGTTGATCATTTAAAAATACCCACAAAATTGATAATGCTTTAGCTCAGCTATTAAATTTAAAAAACACCAAAAAAGCACAAATCAGCATTTTTGACTGAAAGCATGACTATCATCACAGATGATACATAAATAAATAATAAGGGGATATTAATAACAGCTTTGTTTTGATAGACTTGAACATGTAAATAAAATAAATACACTTCTTGAAAAGTACAACTACCAAAAATGGCATGAAGTAAAACAGAAAACTTCACAGCCTATAGTTACTAATTAAATTATTAGTTATAAAATATATTTCATAAAGACACCTCCAAGGTAAGATTATTTCACTGGTGAATATAATCAAAATCTCAAAAAACAGATAATCAGAGTTTTATATGATCTTTTAAATAGAGAAGAAAAACACATTTTCCCACTTGTTTGCTAATGCCTAATACTAAAATATGATAATAAAACTACCCCCTAAAAAAGGAAAGAAAAAGAAAATGTAAACAATGATATCATCCTTAAACACAAACTAACAATCATTAACAAATTACTGGTAAATCATATCCATCAATATAGAAAATGTTCACATATCATGGCAGCCTATGTTTAGCTCAGGTCTGATTAATTTTAAAATCAATCAATGTAATTCTTGTTATTAACAAAATAGAAAAGCATTTGATCATTCCAATAGATGCAGAAAAGGCATGATTCAAATTTACACTGTTAATAACACAAATAGTCTCAGCATCCTAAGAATATAAAGAAATTGTTTAAGCCACATAAACAGCATGTAAGTAAATCTAAAACTGAAATCATATCCAATGGTGAAATATTGAAGACTTTCCAAATATATTGTGGAAAAAGTCAAGAATGCCTAATCTCACCACTTCTGTTCAGTATTGCACCAAAGGTTGTTGCAGTAAGGTAAGGAAAATAAATAAAAAGCTACTTACCAATTACTTCATTATTTACATATAAAATCTCTAGTAATCCACATAATAACTTAGAAATTTTATTTTTGTATACTAAAAGGAAACAAAAAGACAAAAATGAACAATTTAATTAATATTAACATGAAAAACAAAAACACCTTAGAGATATATTTAATAAAATGTGTAGGTAACCTATAAACTGCAAATTATGAAATATGTTTGACAGACATTAAAGAAAAAAAATGGAGCAGCCACATATGATTTTCATGAATCAGTCAACTCAGTATATTAAGGTTGTCCATTTTGGCAAAATTGTTTTAAACATTCAATGTAATTCCAAATCTAATCCTGGCAGATATTTTGTAAAAATTGACAAACTGATATGAACGTACAGACTATGTAGAATAGTTAACATGTTCTTGAAAAGGAACAACAAATTGGAGGATGTGCACTACTTAACTCTAAGACTTCCTGTAAAGCTATAGTAATCAAGACAGTGGAAATGTTGCAGCTTCTTCACTTTTGTAGTTTGTAGTTTGGCGAGCAGGAAGAAATGTTACAGTATTGCAGTTTCTTCACTTCCATAGTTTGGCAAGTGGAAGGGAGTGTTAAGGCTCTTTCACTTCTGTAGTTTGAGAAGTTCCAAGTTCTTTTCCCACTGTTGCAGCTTTTTTGTTCTCATAGTTTGGTGGGCAGAAGGGAGTGGCATCCAGTGGCTTTTTTCACTCTAGCAGTTCAGCTAGGGTGTTACAAGTCTTTTTATTCCTGCTGTCTGCAGTTTGATAAACGGGAGGGTATGGCACATGGTGGCTTTTTTCACTTCTATAGATCAGCAAGTGGTAAAGAGTGTTACAGTTCTTTTTGCTCCCGCCATTCAGTGGCGGGATTCTTGTCCTGCAACCAAGAGAAATAAGGTATGCAGACACCAGGGAGTAAAGCAGAGAATAATTTTATTGAGCAACAGAAGGAAAGCTCTCAGCTGCAAGAGAGGCTCTGAAAGTAGGTAGCTGTCTGTGAGGCTGAGTCTGGGATTTTTATGGGTTTAGGATTGAGGCGTTCATGCTTATTGATCCATGGGTGGTCTTAGAAAAAGTATCATCTGATTGGTTAGAAGGCATCATCCATAAGGAACCAATCAAGGAAGAGGGGGAAATATGGGATAGAAGTTCTCCCTCTGGTTGTGGCCTCTATCTGGAGCTGCCAGTTCAGTTTTCAGGCTTTAGATTCTCTTCAGCTTCAAGGTTGGGTTTGACTGGGGGCCCATTCCTGTCTGCCTAGAAATTTGTCTCTCTCCTGTCACTATCATCATGACTGAGAGGAATGAGGTACACAGACACTAGAAAGTGAGTAAGGCAGAGTAGAATTTTACTGAGTAACAGAAAGAAAGCTTGCAGCAGTGAGAGGGGAAGCATAAGTGGGTTGGTGGCTGTAAGAATGAGTCTGGGGTTTTTATGGTCTTATAATGGAGAAATGTGATCTGATGGGTCCATGGGTAGGCATGAGTGAGGCTGGGACCCACCTAAAATGAGGATTTCTGGGATAGGACAAGCTTTAGAGAGGACCTGGATAGGGATGACAGGATGGACCAGGAGGAGCAGGACCAGAGGGAGCCCACTCCCACACTGGAGACACCTCTGGAGTCTGCTTCCCTAGTGCCTTTTTTCCAATCTAGTTTATCTTCATGGAAGTTGCCATGCCATGGGATCAGAATAAGTTCCTTAAGGTATCTTGCTGAGGCTGCACCTTGGTGTTACCTGAAAGCTCCTGGACCTGCTCCAGTCCCAGAAAGTCCAAAGGATTGTCCTTTGCAGCCTCTCCTGAGATGACTGCTAGGAGTGCTGGATCAATCCTACAACATCAGCAAAGGTCTAGATTACACTGAAGGCCAAGGAAAGCCTGCACATATGGGACCTCAGACCATTTGCCTTCACATCTACAGAAAAGTCCAGTTGCAAGACAGTAGTAAAATTGGTACTTCCCTCCAGAGGCCAACTTTCCCCATCCTGCAAGTTATAATCCAGCCAGGCCCATTTTCAAAAGAATGTAAAACATTTTTTCTTTAGAGTCTGAGGGTCAAAGGAGTTCCAGTGATTCAGGATGCACTCCAGGGGATTTCTGGCTGCAGACGGTTTGTTACCCATCTTTATTATCTTGAATTTGAGGCATCTTCAGAATTTCAGTGACTGGTACTGACACCATGGACAGGCTTATGGCATCCATGTCATACCATGGATGCAAGCATGGCCTCTACCCATGAAGCAGGAATGCCTGCTTAGCAGGAATCATCATGCTTACCCACACTGTTCCCTAGTCTTTCACTGTTGACAGCCTCTGGATCCCTCAGATCTAGTTTTCCTTCTAGGGCTCCAAACTGAAGCTTGGAAAACACATTGAAGTAATAGGATTTGGTCAAAGAACTCTAACAGAGGGAGCATCCTTAAATCTTTCAAAACATCCCTCAACTGACAGTTGATGGACAGGGTCAGATCATAGCACTGAGGAAATGGGAGTGGTGGACTCCCAGACATAGTCCCCCTCTCCTGTCAAGAAGTGATTCTAACTGAAGACAAAAGAGGTACCTTAGGAGGGTGTACGGACCCATTACATTAGTCCCCAGTGGCCCTCACCAAATTGCAGCCAACAACTGGCAGGGCACGTGCACCATTTCTTCCCTATTACAAGCAGAATTTTTCCATTCACAAATGGAGCAAGCAGTAGGACCCATACAAGCTGATTTTAATAAGACCAGCAGGCAAGGGACTTAGGTTTTCAGGAATAAGGCAGATTAAGCACTCAAAGGGAAGAGTCTAATTGCCATCAGTTCCAATTTATCCAGTGGATTTTGCAGTTATTGAGAGAATCTGAAATTTTAGTGTGAACCTGAGGGACCAGATCCTCTTTAGGCAGAGGGCAGAGAGAGGGCCCCAAGGACTGAGGGCCCAGCCTAACAAAATGCACCCAAAAGAAAAAAAAAATATATATATATATAGAGCATAGATTGACTCTCCTGTTTGTTGGACTGTGTTGACTCCTGACATGTTGAAAAAACAACTAAAATGCAGAGAATGAAATGTTGTCTAGGGGAAAATAGCCTCCTTTTTTGTACCAGTGGGTTTCTTCAACAGGGGAAAGAAAGCTCTTTAAATCTTTGTATTCCCCTCTTTTCTAGAAAGAAACAAAAACCATATTGTTCTGAGTTACACTCCTGATGACTAAGCCAAGTACTCATTCTGCCCAGTAATACTATCTCTTTGGGGTAGCAAAACCACTGGTAACATTGTATATAAGGAGGGGTTAGCAGCCATGATAGTCTTGAAAGAAAATATGATAGGAAAGACTGGAAATCTTTGACTAACACACAATTGGACTTTCGGGGACCGGAGCTTGTCCAGGAGCCTTCAGGTAACACCAAGGTGTAGCCTCAGCAAGATACCTTAAGGACCTTATTCTGATCCCACAGCATGGTAAGACTTCCATGAAGATAAAGTAGATTGGAACAATGCCAGCATTCCCAACACCTGAAGGTGAAGGGTTATTAACGAAGTTCTGCCCAGCAAGCCTGTTCCCTGAGTGTTGTAGACCAGCAGCCATACAATTCACCCTTAACTAGCTGACAGAAGCTCGAAGTTTTATCTGTTTTAGAAAAAAATCTGAGGACAAGAAGCAGTGGAATTGAAAGTAAAGAGTCATAGGTTCGCTCTTACTCAGCCTTCCACTGATCCCGGATGAGCCCCCAAGAAATCTCTTCCCCCTCATAGTTCGGCAAGTGGGAGGGAGTGTTACTGTTCTTTCATTCCCGCATTTCGGCAAGTTCCAAGTTCGTCTCACAACCAAGAGGAATGAGTTACATGGTCACCAGAGTGTGAGTAAGGCAGAGTATAATTTTATTGAGAGACAGAAAGAAAGCTCTCAGCAGTGAGAGGGGACCCGAAAGTGAGTTGTCAGCTGCGAGACTGAACCCAGGGTTTTTATGGACTTAGAATGGGGAAATGAGTGCTGATTGATTTATGGGTAGGCTTGGAAAAGTTACCATTCAGAAAGAGGTATGGTAGTGTAAAGAACAAATCAGGGGCTGAAGTGAAGGTTTGGCCAGGGACCAATCAGGAGCTGAGCACACCGAACATAAAAGGAAGTTTTCACTCTGGTCTATGGACTCTATCTGGAACTGGTAGTTTGGTGTTCAGGCTTCAGACTGTCTTTGGCTTGAAGATTGAGTTCCACTGGGGACTTCTCCCTGTCTGCCTAGGAATTTTTCTGCCTCCTGTCACTAGCAGTACTGGCATAAGAACCAACAAATAAACACACACACAGACACACACACGCACACTAGCACAGAAATAGACTAATACCTACATGGTCATTTGATTTTCAAAAAATGGAAAATACGTTTTTAAAAGTAAAGTATTAAATATTTTCAATGTGGGAAAGGAAAGTCTTTAAACAAATGATCCCAGAAAAACTGGATATCCATATATGTGGAGACAAAAAAGTGCCTAATTATTGACTTGTATCATACACACCATTAACTTGGGTTGGATAATATACCTGAACAGAAAAGTAAAAAAAGTTTGGGAGGAAACATAAGAGAATTATTTTGTGATTTGAGATTAAACAAATGTTTACTAGAAAGAAAGAGAAATAATACAATTTAAAATAATGAAATAGATAAATCATTAAAAATGTAAAAATATCTGCTTATCAAAAGACATTAAAATAACAAACATTGTAACCAAGTTATTCATTGACTATTCAGTATAATGGAAAATATAGGCTGAAATTTTAGAACGTCTTGGAAGTAATTATAAAAACGAAACAAATTTATGGGTTAACAAACATAGCTATAAGAAAAAAATGATAGATCAGGCAAATAGATTAATAAAACAAAAAATACAAAGAAATTAAACATACAATGAATAAAACTAAGAAAGAACATCTTTAAACCAATAGTGAAGAACTGTATAAAATCCAAAAATCCTTTAATAAAGATTAATTGAATAAACTATAGTATATTCACCCAATGTAATACTCTGGAGTTTAGAAAAGAATGAAGACAAGCTATATACATAACAAATTTCTGGAATAAAGTATAAAGTGAAATGGATACTATTGTTACTAGTGTGTTTCCATTTATTCAAAAATGGATGGATGAGATAATACATGTATAAATGTGTGTGTGTTTTATTTAAAAACAAATCTGCAAACAAATCAAAATAAAAGGATAAATCAAAATTCAGATAGAATTGTGTGTGTGTGAGACAGAGAGAGAGAAAGGGAAATAAAAAGCAGCGTAAAGAGAACAAACAAACAAAAAAAGGCTGGGCATGGTGGCTCATGAAGGTAATCCCAGCACTTTGAGAGGCCGAGGTGGGAGGATCACATGAGGTAGAGAGTTCGAGACAGGCCTGGCCAACATGGTGAAACTCCGTCTCTACAAAAAATACAAAAATTAGCAAGGTGCGATGGCATGTGCCAGTAATCCCAGTTACTCGGGAGGCTGAGGCCTGAGAATTGTTTCAACCCTAGAGGCAGAGGTTGCAGTGAGCCAAGATCGCACCACTGCATTCCAGCCTGGGCAACAGAGCGAGACTCTGTCCTCTGTCTCAAAAAAAAAAAAAAAAAAAAAAAAGGTGGACTTTTATGGAATTAACTTTAGGCACATGAACATGCATTCCGTAATTGTAAAACAAAATATATTAAAAGAGTAAATCTTAAAAAATGGAGTAAAATACAAGTTTAACTGTAGCAAGTTGTTTGCATAGTGCAATAGAGAGCCATTATCTCAGTGATTTTGAAACACTAATCTGATTGATAGAATATGTCTTAAAAGGAAGAAGAACATTTACAAAAAAAAAAAAAACATGTTTTGGCCGGGCCTGGTGGCTTATGCCTGTAATCCCAGCACTTTGGGAGGCCAAGGCGGTCAGGAGTTTGAGACCAGCCTGACCAACATGGAGAAACCACATCTATACTAAAAATACAAAATTAGCCGGGCATGGCAGCACATGCCTGTAATCCCAGCTACTCGGGAGGCTGAGGCAGGAGAATCACTTGATCCCGGGAGGCAGTGGTTGTGTTGAGCTGAGATCGCGCCACTGCACTCCAGCCTGGGCAACAAGAGTGAAACTCTGTCTCAAAAAAGCAAGCAAACAAAAAACAAACAACAACAAAAAACCCAAAACAACACCACCAAAAAAACCTGTTTTTTTCTAATCATATTGTTGTTAGTAATGCTGGTATTGTCTCCTGAAACTGGCACGTACGTTGAAGCAAACCATTAATTAAGACAACACAGTTATTAATCAAGGTTGTAAGTATCAATGGCACATAAATATAAAATCACATAAGTAAAATTCCAGAAGCTTAGATATGATCTAGAAAAACAGAATGAATGTATATATTTTATCACTAAAATATATACATATGTGTATTTTTTAGGTTTATGTCCTGAAAGAGGATAGAAATTATGATGAATTTAATAGCAGTGAGATTAATGTCCCCTGTTTTTCTCACTAGTAGGGATGAAGATTTCTAGGAGAAATAGCTGATTCCAGTTATATGATAAAAATAATACAAATATTTTCATACCAGAAATAAGAAAATTGTCAAAGATTAGAGGTCATGTCAAGAACACTTAAAAGCTATCCTGCATTTGCTCCCATTGCCCAAATATAGGACAACATAGGAGCATCAATAAGCATAATCATTATAAAGTATTGAAACATTAAATATATTTGAATCCAGGAGATTATGTCAGCCAAAAATGTGTGTAAGGAGAGCAACTCTATATTCTAAATACAATCATGTGCGGCATAACAATGTTTTGGCCAAAGACAAACCGTACATACCACAGTGGTCCCATAAAATTATAAGGGAGCTAAAAAATTTCTATCACCCAATGATGTCGTAGCCTTCGTAAAGTGATAGTGCAATGCCTTACAGATGTGTCTGTGGGGATGCTGGTGTAAACACACTTACTGCACTGCCACTTGTATAAAAGTATAGCACACACAGTTGTGTATGGTACATAAAACTTGATAGTAAAGAAGCATGTTACTGGTTTATATATTTACTATACTATATGTCTTGTTATTTTCGCGTAGTAATTCAACATAATTGTTAAAAAGTTCACTTTAAAATAGCCTCGGGCAAGTCCTTCAGGAGGTGTTTTAGAACAAGTCCTTGTTATCATAGGAAATGACAGCTCCATGCATGTTACTGCACCTGAAGAACTTCCAGTGGGACAAGACGTGGAGACAGAAGACAATGACATTTATTACTCTGACCCGGTGCAGGGCTAGGCTACTATGTGTGTTTATCTCTTAGTTTTTAACTAAATGTTTATAAAGTTGAAAAAAATTAAACATTGCATAAAGCTTAGAGAATATGAATATAAAAAGAAATAGTTTTGTACAGCAGTATGATGTGTTTGTGTTCTAAGCTAAGTATTATTACAAGAGTCAAAAAGTTTAAAAATGAAAATGTTTGTAAAGTGAAATGTTACATTAGGCTATGGTTAAATTATTATTGAGAAAATAAATTTTTAAAATAAATTTAGTGTAGCCAAAATGTACAATGTTTATATAAAGTCTATGGTAGTACATGGTAATGTCCTAGACCTTCACATTTACTCACTGACTCACCCAGGGCAACGTCTAGTCCTGTAAGTTTCAATTATGATAAGTGCCTTATATAGGTGTACCATTTTTAATCTTTTGTACCGTATTTTTACTGTAACTTTTTTATGTTTAGGTATGTTTTGGTTCACAAATAATTACCATTGTGTTCCAGTTGCCTACAGTATTCAGTACCATAACATGCTGTACAGGTTTGTAGCCTAGAAGCAATAGGCTATCCCATATAGACTAGGTGTGTAGTATGCTATACCAGCTAGGTTTGTGAAAGTATAGTCCAGGATGTTCACACGACAAAATTGCCTAACGATGCACTCCTCAGAACATATCGCTATCATTAAGCAACACATATTTGTACTGGCAAATGAAGAGAAATAATCGACCTTTTACTCTGCTTTCCAAGTAGAAACTCTGCCTCAGAATAGCCAAATAATTATTAAGGGGACATTGCTCTTCACAGTGTTCCAGTTAAAAAAACTACTGCTAGAATTAGAAATTCAACGTTTTGCATTCCATAATAAAATAATGAATCTGGGCAGTTCAGTTCTTTATTTCATTACAGAATATAAAATATAATGATCACCATTTATGTGCTTCTTGATGGAAACCTACACATCTCTGAAGTAATCTTGGGGGTGAGGGGACAGAATCAGATCAACACATTAGAGTTAACATCAATTTAATGAAATTACAAGCGACAGAGCAATATGTTGAATGATACTGTGAAGGAATACTTAGTAAAATTACAGCTCAACAGAATGAATAGCTTACTTTCTTCAACAAACTCATAAAATAATCAGAATTGAGAGAGGGACAATTATAGATTTTTAAAAGTTTTGAGAAGTATAAATGGCAAGATAGTAGCTTTTTGTTACTGTTGTTCCGGATTGAAACAAATTGTTATAACAGTGGATGTAAGATGACTCTAGAAAGGCAAATACTGACTGGGTATTTAATACTAGAATTTTTAACATTTTAGGTGTGGCAGTGGTTTGGGGTACACGCACATTTGAGTCTCTGTTGTAAAAATAACACACTTAGAAATTTTCTCTAGATAAACACTAACTGATGCTGATGACCTCCAGAGTCAAGCCTTATATTTAAGTGAATTTCTAAGTTAGGTTGGAAATAAGTCTAGATTTATTAACTAAAGTTTTGGATTTGTCATAACAATATAATGAAATCCAGATATTTAGGGAGAGAATGGATAGATAGATAAATAGACAGACAGATAGATGATAGATAGATAAACATAGACCAATAAAGATAGGTAGATACATACGTACACACACATACAGATACAGACATGTAGTTGATGCATTGATGTATAAATAAATAAATGAGTGGATAAATGAATATATGGATGGAGAGAGAGAGAGAAAGATACAAGGGGAAAAGAAGGTAAGGGAAGGAGATGAGAAGGAAGGGGAGGAGAAGGTAGGGAAGACAGAGCATGTAGAGATACATACACAGGAGTACACATACACTATCCAATGCCCTTATGGTTATCATAAAATAATTTTCTATTTTTGTAAATGATTTAATGTCTCTCAGTCCCTTTTTACCTTTCTGTATTGATACAAGCATAACCCCAAAGGGGAAATAGCAAGAATTTAGACCTTTAGTAAAATTGTTCTTTTAGTAGCTAGGTCAAATGATTGCAGCTGCTTTGGAAATAAGCGATTATGTGTAGGTTTAGCATAAATATTTGATACGCAAATGGAATAATCTTTATTGAAGCTATACAATGCATAGAATCATAGTATAAAAATAAAAATATAGTATAAAAATAAAAAAACTCTGTATGAAATATGATGAAATATGGATAACTGAATGATGGAGAATGGTGATAAAATATCACCTATATAAAATGTATTCAAACCTGTAAGTACTGGGCAATTAATTTAATGAGAACATAGTTATTGTGTGCTCTGGGAGGGTTCTCTGGAGTGTTTAAATGAGAAAATCT
This sequence comes from Homo sapiens, assembly GCF_000001405.40. Taxonomy (NCBI): domain Eukaryota; kingdom Metazoa; phylum Chordata; class Mammalia; order Primates; family Hominidae; genus Homo; species Homo sapiens. The sequence goes on along the minus strand of NC_000003.12, from coordinate 83,719,341 downwards.
AACTTCATAGGTATGTAAAAAGATGTAGGATTACCATTATTTACTTTTGTCTTTGGTTTATAACATGTTTATATTACCTTGGAACACCACGGTTCAACTAATAATTTCTTAAGCAAAATGAGTTAGGCAAGTTATAAGTTGTTTGATCACGTTGTAAAGCTAAATATTATCTGGTAGAAAATTCTGTCTTGGTTATCAAATAATTGTTTGCAAAATTATGCAAAAGTTAGTGGTACTTAACAGATGAAAACCTGAAAATGATTTAATGAACAGCAACAAGAAAGCAGTATGTATTACTTTCGTGTGTTAAATCATTTTTTAAGGAATTGTGGTATGATTAAAAAGATACAAGATTTAATAGTAAATTCTTTATTTTTCTTATTTCTGTTCTTTTGCTATTCAGAATGTGTTTCAACTTTTAAAAATGTATCTACGAAGTAATTAGCTATAAACTCAAATGATTCTATTTCGCAAATTTAAAAATTGAGTACAAACTCAAAGCATTGTTTGATGATTTTTTAAAAACTAGGCTGTGTCATATTCCTTCTTTTTTTAGATATACTGCCCTTCTCCCGCCTCCTAAAAAGTACACAATAATGTAATAATTAATTACATTAAATTGAATTGTATTTTGAGAAATTTTTGGCATTTTCATGACACTTCATAGTTAACTATTCATATGGAGTGAAGCCATAGGCCAATTTATTATTCCTTTTATAATTTGTATTTGCCATATTATCTGAAGACAACTTAATTGTAGCTCTATGACTTAATTCTACTATTCATCATTCATTATACAGTGTAGATAGATGCCTATATTTCTCTCCTTTTTCAAATGTAGAGGGCGTTCAAACTTTTTATAATTGGGGTCATGTGCTGAGATTCAGTTTGTATTACTTTGTATACTATTCCCAGTATGAAATGAACAATCTATGTAATACTGCATTTATCTTTATATTATCTATTATATTATAAGTTGCAGTTTTTTAATGTTACAGAAGTTAACGCTTTAAGCTTAAGGTTCCAATGCAAATAAATTCTAACTCTTACTCAAAAACATACTGCTATACCTTCCATTTTACTGAATATTTGTGACAAAACATTATTTATGGACTGAATAAACTGAAGGCTTAAATCAGCATCTCTTGTAAGATTAAAATATGTCTGTAGGACCAGTATGGGAAAATATAAGAACACCTTTTTAATTTTACACTATGGGCATTCCTTCTGAAGTATAGATCTTCTTTGACAGGGGATCCGCAACATCTTTGTCTGCTTCTCACAGGAGACCTATGTGAATCTTTGATAAAACCTCCCTCCCTTTCTTTTTTCTCCTTCCTTTCCTATGAAATGATAGTACCTTCAATTTTGATGCTAAGTAAACTTCTTTTTCAACTCTTTAAACAATAGAAACTCTGTAAATTAAGAAAAGGGACATATTGCACACTTTTTAAAGTAGAAACAGACATGATATTCCCTCGAGTTTTACTAAATCTTTTCTTATTGCTGAATGCCTGTCTTCATCCATCTATATTAAAATAGGTCTGTTTTTATATATTCCCTAGTGGTTTCCAGTCTGGATTTTTAAAATAAACTGAACATATAATTTAGATATTTCAATCATGTTTTACCTTTTCTTTCTTGAATGTTGCAAAATCAGAGGTTTTATCCGTCATTTTTAAATTCCATGGATTTCAAAGCATTGTTAGGCCTGAGAATAGAGCAAGATATTTATTAATTTAGAAAAAGAATTTTACTCTTCAAATTTCAAGAATATGGTATGTATTTCAAAATTCTATCAAATAGTTCTAGATACCTCTTATTAGAAACTAAATACAGTATGGTTGTAAGAACTTTTGTCAGCCGCAGTAGTCTTATTTTTCCTAAGGGAGTTAGCTTAATACAATGGCCCTTTCCCACCACTTAGCTATTGGTGTTCTAACAAAACTTTCAAGGTGGGACATTTAGGTCAGTATGTAGTGTTCGCTTTTATCTCTTTGTTTTATAAATACTTCCATATTTTGCTGTCTTGTGCCCTCTGGGAGTTCAACCAATATCCATGTACTTTCTTAAAGCCTTTTCCGAACTCCTACCTTTATTATGAGAATTGTAAAGTCTTTTCCATGAACCTTTTCTAGTTGATTAATGTGATCAATGCTATGTCTTTGTGTGAGCCACTTTGATTCATCTCCCTGGGACTGTATTCACATTTTTTAATACTTTTTGTTCCCTATTGATTCTCCTGCTAAGAACTTCTCTCTTTTTTTTTTCCTAGAATATTGAGATTCCACATTGCACACACATTTCTTTTTTCTTTTTAGCTTTTAAGAAGGTTCTTACTGAATTGATCATTCTATAGCAGGACTAAGAGAATCTAGTAGAATACAGAGGATTCCATGTCTTCAGGCACTCAGAGAGGAAACCAAAACTGAAAGTTAAATAAACTCCTATAAATTATTGAAAGTATGAAATGCTGAGAAAAGGGTGTTTTATATTTGTTATTATAGAATGTTGCAGATATAAATAGTCATAAAAATTATCTAGTCCAATGTCTCATTTTACAAAAGAAACTGAGATACAAAGGCTAAGCTATTTGCTTAATACGATCGTAAAGTAAATTATATGAGATATGAAGATAATTTTAGTTACAATTTGCAAGGAAACAGACTTGAATTTTTTATTTTCATATATTTCCAAAATTTTAAACTTCAGAAGGAATTGCTAAATAATTTGATATATGTTAAGGTGAATGAATACATCTAGTTAATCAACAAATGTATATCAAATGCCTATTATATAACTGACTCTATTATTTACAGCTGGAATACAATAATGGAGAAGACATAACCCCACCTTTGATGAATTACACTAAAAACAGGTGGGATTCATGTAAAAGACATGTTATAACAGAATGATGTGCATGCATTAATTCAGGAGTGAGTGATCTATTGCTTGACTATTGGTTTTAGTGATTGTTTTTATTAATAAAATTAATAACAAAGCATTATTGGGATAAACATTATGTTTTAAGGTTGAGATTTCATTTTGTCGACATTAAAACTTCTTGGAAAATATGTAAAATAAATCCTTAAATATTTAATAAACTGATCTTGTTATTAATAACAAAAATATTCAGCTCATAACACATCAAACATTGTAATTATTTTTTCTGATATATAGAATGTATAGAAATTCTTGGGATGTCTGATTTCAGCAATAATAATGAGAATTTTACTTTGTATACTTGATGCATCTTATACATGAAACATACACAATGTTTGGTGAGATTTGAAAACAGTTTACTTTAAGGAATCTAACTACTTTTACTTACAGGCATTGAAACAGCAAAAAGTCATTTAAAGAATGTCCACTTAACAGCCTGTCCAGATAATCTAAGGTTCTTCTTTCCCACTGTAACATATACTGACTGATGTCTATGGCATCCTAAATATACATTAGGAATCTCCTCTCTCCTATGTACTTTGGTTTTCAACAAGTAAAAAGCATTAATCCCAAACCTGTTTATGCCATATCAGCTAGTAATTATGTATATATATATATACACACACACATAATTATGTATATACATACATATATATACATAATTACAAATATATATATACATAATTACAAATATATATACATAATTACAAATATGACATGAGATTCAAGAGAGTAACTAACAAAATTGTGGCTAGAAACACATTAACCATTAATATTAGAGAAAGTGAGAAACAAACCTAGAAGGATTTACATTCAAACTCTTACAAACTTTTTTACTTGGACGCTGAGGCAGAAGGATTGCTGAAGGTCAACAGCTCAAGACCAAGTTGCGCAATATAGCGAGTTACCATCTCTAAAAACAGTTTGAAATATTAGCTAAGCATGGTCACACGGGCTGATAGTCCCAGATACTTGGGATGCCAAGGTCAGTGGATGACTTGATTCCAGAAGTTCAAGGCTGCAGTGAGCTATAATTGCACGAATATACTTCAGCCTAGGTGATAGAGAGAAATCCTATCTCTAAAACAAAACAAAAAAATTTCTTTAAATGCTTTTTACACTTCAAAAGTTCCCCCCGCCACAAGAACATGTATATTATGCATCAGAATGTGGCATGTGAAAGCTAGGTAATGTAGAACTTGTCAGAAAAGGACCTTTTCAATACACACACAAACACACCCACCCACCCCCCGCACCCACACACACACAAAGTGAAATAAAATGTTGAAGTATGTACACACGATGATTTTGTTTGAAAGACTTTGTTCCACATATATAGGATGTGCTAAATTTGCCTGCAACCAATAACTATATTATTTCCATTTCTATTTATTTAAGTTTATTTAATAACATTTGTTTATTTAATAAATAATTAATAATTATTTAATTTATTTATTTAATAAAATATTGCTATTGTTAGGTGCAAGAAATTTGGCATTTTTTAAATAAACATTCTCTAAAAGCTTAAATAATTTTCAAACCCACTATCACTCTTTTTTGCAATAATTACAATTTTACCAAACTTCTGTGGAATATAAAGCAAAGGTGTAAAAATTATACTATTTGTCAGAAAGATCAAAGTCTTTGCTATCAATTAATTTTTTTTTTTGCTGTCGTTGAATGCAGGCTAATGTTAGATTAACTTTTGCTGGTACCAAATACAGTTAGAAAAATATTCGCAAAAATATAAAAGCAAAAAGAGATCAAGAAAGAGCATCAAAGATAGCTTTTTTACATTTTATACTTGAATAGTTTTTACAGTGACAAAAACAGAAATCTCTTCTGTATTTTAGTGACAACACTTTTGAATGGCAATTATCTGATATTTTTATTTCTAATCTTTTCTGTTTTCTAATGGTACATATTTACATTTCAAAAAGAAAGGAAAATGATGTGAGCCAAAATAAAAGAATGATGATTCCTGATTATTATTAACTCAGAAGATGTCGAAGATTAATGCCGATTGATGAGTGTTAGGGGAGAAAAACACAGAGGTACATTATCCTACATTTGAATGTCAAGTTGGACAGGTTACATCAGAAAATTAAGAGTATGATTATTTTGTTTTCCCCCAAGAAATGTGTCAATAATCACACATTAAAAAAGGTAAAAATAATTTTACCTTCAAAGATGCTAAATTCTCACTAATATTAAGCTAACTTTATTTTCAAATACAGTTGTGAATACTGAAAATACAAAGACATAAATTTCATGAACTCTCAGTGAGCTCCCAAATTAACAGAAGAGAGAGGCATTTTATGGTAGTTCTTTCTTCCACAAATACGAGAAAGTGATTGCTAGACTGAGTTATGAATAGTAAGTCAGATGTATCCACATAATCTGAAGGTGGTGGAGACAGTAAAACAAAGGTAACAGCGGCAAAGTGTTCTGATCAGAAGTAACTTGTGAGCTAATTCACGAAGGGGGAAAAGAAGTCACAATATGAGAAATAAAATAAATACATTGCAATTGGAGCATAGGGTGATAATGTGTGTAAGTGTGTGTGCTCATTGAGGTAAACTCTCATTTGCATTGGAGGACTCAAAGGAAGAATTTAGGAGCATCAATATGTTTTGAAAGAAAAGCTTGGATTGTATTTGCTTCACCCTTTACATAAAATGATTAAGTGGCCATTTTCTACATCATAGTATTGGTTTGATCAGGCTAATGAGGTCCAGTCTATCAAACTTGCTTTACCCCAAACCTTTGAGGATGAATAGGGAGTGTTGAGGAACTTAAGGCCCTTCTAATCCTTGACAAGGAAGCTGGACTTTGTTCTAAAGAGAGACAGACATCATTGTGGAGTTATAAGCAGAGAAAGGGGCATAATCAGAATGTGTTCTTAAATCACTGTGAGGGCTGGATGGGAAAAGAATAAGACGGGAGGTGAAAAAAACTTAGGAGACTGACAATAATTAAGGCCAGAAATTCTACCATTATAGCTTAAGATAGTCAATGTGGGGCCTGGGAAGACTGGATGGATACAATAACTTTTTAGCAGAGTGTCAAAATTTGTTAATGGTTCAGATGTGGGGACAAAGGAGAAGAAAGAATTATCTTGGAAGAACAGAAAAAGTTCTGTTTAAACATGTTGAGTTTGAAGGGACTATAATTTCTTTGTCTTATCTAGCTTTTATATATGTATGAGCATATTTATATTTTTATATTTATTCATGATTTAAAAAATTTAAATCATTAAATGTTGCAGAAAATGTTTTTTAAGATAAAACTTTTAGCAAAAGACCAATAAAAACTCACCAATACAAAAGCACTTCTAAAATAATTATTCAAAACTTCCTCATTTATTAGTTTATTGCTACTATACTTTTTTTTCTTTTTGGAAGTCAGACAAAGTAACTTTCTTAGTTAGATAGTCTCAAGTCCTCTTGCAAACTCTTTGTCCACCATTCTCTGCTCTGACCTTAGGAGTTTGACGTATATACTGCATCAAAAGACTCCCTTGAACCCACTGACATAAGATTTAATCAGAAAGATACTTTCACTTGACATTCTTTACCAATACCTGGAATGGGATGTATAAATTGTCTGAGAGAAATCTTACATGCATTAATGAGAAAGAGAAAAGCAACACCATAACATGGGATCTAGCCTTGTACTTGTAGTTAGGTCCTGATGTTCTTTTGTTGAACACACAGTTTCACTGAATATTAACATCGGTAAGGTCACTCCCTGCCCATATGATTCAAGACAAAACCAGAGCACTCTGTGCTCATGTCTGAACATAGACACTGAACATTGTCCAAGCCATAAAAATGGCCAACATCCACCTATTCTGGCTAAGATGAAGGACTGCTGCCTCTTTATCCTTCTAGATAAAGAGATACATAGAATTAATCCTGCTGCCTGAGAATAAAACAAATTCAATTTAAGAGTAAATCCATGACTCCATAAAGTCTTTCCAAAATCACAGAATGAGAGTGCTAATCCCGTAAGTCCTAAAACCCTCCTAAGGTTCCTCCTGGTGTATCTTCTTTCTTGCTGAAACTGCTGATGTGTTCCTGGTGGTTTCTGGTTAAAGGTCATTGACATTAGTGAATAATATAGTTGTGAAAATATTCAATCATTTGTTTTGTTTCTAAATTGAGGTTTGATATTAAATGAATATCAAATTTAAACTTCCAGAACAAAAGCAAAAGGAAAACTAATAAGACAAACAGAAATTAGAGAAGAAATTCTTAATGTGAGTTATTGGTCTCTCTTTTTGTATCTCTCTCTCTCTCTCTCTCTCTGTCTCCTTATCCTTTAAGAATGTATCGTCAAATTTCTTTTTAAATGATCATATCTCAAAAAATAGCAGTATTCTTATTAAAAAGTAATATGATTATTATGTTCAAAATCATTAATGCTATGGCACTCTCAGTTTATTAGTACTTTCCAATTATCTTGTTCATTAAGCTCTTTGAAGAATGTTTTCTAGAAGAATAAAAATTTTCAGCATATTTGGTTATGTACGTTGGGAATCCTGGAAAATTGCCATAGTAGCAGTAAGAAATAGTTAAAAGATTTCTTTTTTAAATGTTTTATTGACACTCAATTTTTATGCATTAAATACTAAGGTGATGCATCTTTTCTTTAAAATTAGGATTCAGACTAGGGAACTGCTGTAAATGTAAAAGTTAAAAGTATTAATGTATCAAATACAAATGTAATTTTATTGATTCATAGTTATCACTAGCTTATAATTTCTTTCACATTATCCTACATATTCTATTGTTTGAAATATGTGAAAAATGTATAATAAATATACATTACTAGAAATATATTGTTTGAAATAAATTTTACAGTTTTTAATTAGTTCTGAATTTATCAATGTTTTTGTTAACATTTTTCACCTCAAAAATAAAACTAAAATAAAAACATTTTTATTATTAATATTGTTAATTTTTATAGCTGAATATTTATTATTTTTTGTAAATTTCAGGTAACAAAGTTTATGTGAGTTGTGTCATGTAAAACAAGGTGAGTAGTATAGAATTTGATACAGAATGCTATCTCAAATTATTTAAGACATGACATAAATGACACCTATGAAGAATAAGCACAAAAGTCATTAAATTTATCATGTGAAATATTCACCTAGTCATTTGATATTTTATTATTTTTGAAGTTGACTGTATTTTGATTTTGCCAGATTAATTTATTTGGCATAGTATGCCAGAGTGAAAGACTATTTGTATATTAGTCAGAGTGACATTCCAACTTCAGTCTGAAGGTAATCTGGAGGCAGAATTCCCTTTTCCACTAGGACCTCAGTTTTTACTCTTCAAACTTTCAACTGGTTGGATAAGGCCTACTCACATTAAGGACTCAAAAGTCTACTGCTTTAATGTTATCTACAAAATACCCTCACAGAAAATCTAGACTGGTTTTTGATTAAATATCTAAGTACTGCGATTGAGGCAAGTTTACATGGAAAATTAACCATGATGATTTGTAATATCATTACATATCATTGGTATGTTGAACATTTATACCTCAAACTAGTAGAGTTGAGTTGCATTTCTCACTTTTTCTGCATGAATCTACAAGTTTTAGAAAATAAACTAATGTTTCTCTTATCTAATGATAAATCCTGAGTTAATTACACCAGAGTAGTGTTTTGGACTTCCTGTGAAATGGGTGTGAGAGAAATATTTTTTACTACTATTTTTTAGTTAGGTTGGTAGTGTGGCTGTGTGTGTTAACATATAGGTAGGTGTTTAAAAATTACCTAAGAATTTCCACTAGTAATAACAGATTTGGGGTAAAATAATTAAAATTAAGCTGTTGGCAAGCTAACATTGCTTTCTTGAATGAATACAAATTTTACAAATGAAAAAAGTTTAAAAATTAAAAATAAAAATAGTTTCCTTAATGAAGATATATTGTAGCAATAAAAAATGCAAATAGTAGTTTTCTTAATGACTACATATTTATAAAATGAACCATTAATTTTGGAGAAATGTCCTCAATCTTTGTATGTATTACTCTGTGTAAATGTGTATTTGGAGTTGTATAGTTGTCACATGTAGCTGATATCTTATGGGATATCAACTAACTGATTACATTCAGGCCTGCTCTCCTTTATTCCCTATATTCTTCCTTTCCTCTTCCTTCTTGTTCTCTTTTCCTCCCTCACTCTCTCCACCTCTTCCTTTCCTCGTTCTTTTCTTCCTTCCTTCCTATCTCTGTTTTCATTTTGCCAGCATTGTGCATTCATTTATATTTAAGATACAGAAAAATAACTTTAAAAGTGTGTCCAAGTTCTAAAAGAGAGCCCTTTTTTTTCATTAATCCTATGCACATGTGGGCAGAGTACTACTGTCATAGTGACATTTAAAAATCTATCATTGAGTTAAATATTTAATCACTTTCAAATGTTTCAGAAACAAAGTACAATTTTTAGTACTCTTTTATTTTAACGTATATGATCTAAAAGAATGAAAGCAATTGTTTAAATGTTGAAGTGACTTTATATTCAGTGTTTATTTATGAGAAATAGCTCTGACTACAATGACACACAAAATTGGTAGCATAGCATACCTATAATGAAAGTTGCAATTCTGCTAGCTCTTATTCAGGCAGTATCTACCCAGTTAGTGCTGACGCTGGTAAGTCCAACACAGGAAATACTACAAATAAGCTTCAAATACAAGACAATGGCAATTTCAGAGCTCGTTATGTTTAATGGAAAGTATGCACACATGTAACAAAGAGCATAAATTTTAGCTAATACATCTCTAAGGTGTTTTCATTATTTTTAACTCTATGCATTATTTTACATTTCTCCATCTCAGATAGTTGATGAATACTTACATAGTTGAAGGCAAAAACAAAAATATGCTAAAATGTCTGGTATTCAAAACACATACAAACATACACAAATGACATTCAAACACATGCATACACAAACAAACATACACACATACAAAACACAAAATAAAAAGGGTGCTCATTAAAATGACAGAATTAAAAGCTGTTACAATTTTTTCCTAGCAGTGTTGGCACTATGAAAACATCTTAATAAGAATCCCTTATATCTTTCAGTTTTCTGGGGGATCCAATGTATGTGAATGTTTTGTGATAGTTTAAATAAAACTTTAAATATGCTTTGTGTCCGTTTTCATGATTGTGAGAATGTATGTTGCGTGTATGTTAATGTTTCTGCTTACAATAAAGTAACAGAAAGTAAAGTAACAGAAGGAAATTATTAGCAGTAACACCAAAATCTTGACTTAAAAATAAAGGAGAGTGATGTGCTTTTTTATTCCCAGTTAGTGGCTATTGTTAGATAAACCTAGAATCTTACACTTACTCTGATACCTATGCATAAACATCAAGAGTAATTGAATTCCATAAAGTTATGTAGAAAGGTTTGTTTTGTTTTAATGTACATTAATTTTTTTCCCTAGGTTTAAGAAAGAGCTCAGCACCATTTACTGAATAGGAGATCCTTTCCCCCTTGCTGGTTTTTATCAGGTTTGTTGAAGATCAGATGGTTGTAGATGTGTGGTGTTATTCCTGAGGTCACTGTTCTGCTCCATTGGTCTATATGTCTGGTTTGGTACCAGTACTATGCTGTTTCAGTTACTGTAGCCTTGTAGTATGGTTTGAAGTCAGGCAGCGTGCATGCCTCCAGATTTGTTCTTTTTACTTAGGATTGCCTTGGCTATATGGGGACTTCTTTGATTCCATATGAAATTTAAAATAGTTTTTGCTAATTCTGTGTAGAATGTCAGTGGTAGCTTGACAGGAATAGAATTGAATCCATACATTACTTTAGGCAGTATGGCCATTTTCTTGACATTGATTCTTCCTATCCATGAGGATGGAATGTGTTTCCATTTTTTTGTGTCCTCCCTTATTTCCTTGAGCAGTGTTTTGTAGTGCTCCTTGAAGAGATCCTTCACATTCCTTGTTAGCTATATTCCTAGGCATTTTTTTTTCTCTTTGTAGCAATTATGAACGGGAATTCATTCATGGTTTGATCTCTGCTTGCCTATTGTTGGTGTAAAGGAATGCTTGTGATATTTGAACATTGATTTTGTATCTTGAGACTTTGCTAAAGTTGCTTATCAGTTCCGGCAGTTTTGGGGATAGACTTTTATAAATATAAAATCATATCATCTGCAGACAGAGACAACTTGACCTCTGCCCTTCCTATATGAATACCCTTTATTTCTTTCTCTTGCCTGATTGCCCTGGCCAGAATTTCAATACTATGTTGAATAGGAGTGGAGAGAGGGGGCCTCCTAGTCTTCTACTGGTTTTAGAAGGGATACAGAAAACTCAAAGCAGACCCCTTCCTTGCTCCGTATACAAAAATTAACTCAAAGTGGGTTAAAGATTTAAATGTAAAACCCGAAACCATAAAACCCTAGAAGAAAACCTAGGCAATACCATTCAACACATAGGCATGGACAAAGCCCTCATGATAAAAACAAAAAACAGCAATTGCAAAGGAAGCCAAAATTGACAAATGCATTCTAGTTAAACTAAAGAGCTTCTGTACAGCAAGAGAAACTATCATCAGGGTGAACAGACAACCTATGGAATGGGAGAAAATTTTTGCAGACCCATCTGACAAAGGTATAATATCCAGAATTTACAAGGAACTTAAACATATTTACAATAAAAAAATTAAAAAGTTGGCAAAGGATATGAACAGACACTTCTCAAAAGACATTTATGCAGCCAAAGACATATGAAAAAAATCTCAACATCATCAGTCATTAGAGAAATGCAAATCAAAGCCACGAGATACCATCTTATGGCAGTCAGAATGGCAGTTGTTAAAAAGTCAGGAAAAAATATATGCTGGCGAGGCTGGTTAAAGAATAGGTGGTACATATACACCATGGGATACTCTGCAGCCAAAAAATGGAATGAGATCAGGTCCTTTGCAGAGACATGGATGAAGCTGGAAGCCGTCATCCTCAGCAAACTAACACAGGAACAGAAAACCAAACACCACAAGTTCTCACTCATAAGTGGGAGTTTAACATTGAGAACACATGGGCACAGAGAGGAAAACAACACACATCAGGGGCTGTTGTGGGGTGGGGCTGAGGGGAGGGAACTTGGAGGACAGGTCAATAGGTGTAGCAAACCACCATGGCACATGCATGTCTATGTAACAAACCTGCATGTTCTGCACATGTATCCCATTTTTTTTTAAAGAAGAAATAAAGCACATTTTTTTAAAAGAAACAACTCATGTTCACACAGGGCACCCTATTTGGTATCTCTTCAAGCCAACCATGATTTCTGATTTGCTAAGGGTTTTTACATACTTCAAACATCACCTTGAAATTACCAGCATCCTTCATTTAACTATATTCAAGAATTTGAGAATTCAAGTTTTCCTCAAAAAGTTATTACTAATTCATCTAGGGTATTCCTCAAAAAGTTATTACTAATTCATCTAGGACGTTCTATGAAATGCCTTTTATTTTTTGATAAAGCAAATTGCTGACATCTACATAATTTCTACAAAAATATTGAAAAATTAGATCATTCTAGGGGCTAATATTGCATTATTTTGATGCTAGACAATAGTACCTCCTGTATTTTGATTATTGAGGTCAAGTCTTTGAATGAAGACAAATCTCTTTAACAGTAAACAGTGCTATTTCCTCTCTCCACTGAGAGTCATTCTAAAACTCAGCATTACATTATTACTTCAGTTTTTTTCCCCATCTTAGTGTACTTATCAGAAGAGACACCGAAGAGCTTGTGCTCTCTCTCTAGAGACACTTATATAGGAAAAGCCATATGAGGACAAAGTGCTCATTTACCAGCCAGGAAGAGAGTCTTCACAAGGAACCAAACCATGCCAAACCTTGATCATAGACTTTCCAGTATTCAGAACTATGAGAAAATAAATTTCGTTATTTAAGTCATGCAATCTGTGGTTGGTTTTTTGCTTGTTTGTTTTTGAGACAAGGTCTCACTCTGTTGTCTAGGACAGCCTCAAACTCTAGGACTCAAGTGATCCTCCCTCCTCAGTCTTCTGAGTAGCTGAGACCACAGGCATACTCCACCACACCTACCTAATTTTTTTTTTGTTTTTTTTTTTCCTGTAGAGACAGAGTTTTGCCATGTTGGCCAGGCTAGTTTCGAACAGCTGAGCTCAGGCTATTGACACATCATGGCCTCCCAGAGTGCTGGGGCTGTAGGCATGAACCACCTCACCTGGCCTGTGGTATTTTGTTATTGCAGCCTGGGCAGACAAATATACTTTTCCTACTCCAGGCCGTCACTCCCAAAATGCTTCCAGTATTTAGGCTTATTCTTGCTTGCTGCCTTTCCTAATTTTTGTTACTACTAAGGCAGTCCCTCTACATGAAATCATACATGGTTCTAGTTCTACTTCTTCAATTTTCCAGATTTCTGCTCCCGTGCTGGAAACTTATTGAGTACTACCATCAACTATTGAATCCATACGGAGAAATATAAAAGCTAAAGACGAAATCTTAATGATACAACAACAACAACAAAAAGTCTCATCCCATACAATTGGTTAGGGGAGCAAGGACAAGAGATCAGAAACAGTAGAGCCCTTTTATACTATGGGAGCAACATGCAAAAGGGAAGGTTAATATCTGATTTATATGTACATGTGTGTAGGGGGTGTGAGTGGGGGTGTATGAATTCTACCATATGCATTAATTTTGCTCTGTTTTGTGAAAGTTTTCTGACCTGCAGTGATTCAGTTAACAATTATTTGCATAGTTCAGTTATTCATTTTATCCTGTAAGCAAAGAAGGCATGAAGTAAACAAATCTATTTTAATTTTGAATATCTGGTGTTGTTCAAAACATCAGTGGACTTTGATAATTTTTATTTTAAGGTACTTTGAATTCTGACCCAATTTTGTTACTAGATTGTTAGTCGTTTCATGTTTACTGTATATTTGCAACTTTCCGTATTTTGAGATGTTTCAAAGTTTTCTTTGGTTCCTTTAACATATTTGTTATATTACACATTTAAATTATTGTTATCTAAACCAGAATGTTCACAAGATTCCTTTTGTACTGATCTTGGAAAGGCATAAAGCAATAATGACATTGATAATTTCAGGGATGTTTATTTCCTTTGACATTTAAAGAGTAGGTGAATGACATGTAAAAGAAGAAGAAACATAATGTGTAAGTTTCATAAAATGAAAAAATACAATAGAAAATTTTACTTCGGTTTTGTTTTAATTCTGACTTTGGCAGCAGCCACGCCTGCTTTTCTATGTGTGGCTGTAAAAGTGACAAGTGCCTGGACAATATAAACCTTGAATAAAATTGATCACATTTCAAATTAGTTTGCATGGCTGCTTTGAAAATTCAAACTTCTTTTCACAGTTAAAAAACAATAAAAGAGTATCAAGTCACGTAACTAACAGATCTAAGCCTGTCTCAGGAGTAAGGTAAACCTGACAGGTTGAGAAAACTATAAACACTTTCCTCAGGACAAAAAGGGTGTGATAAACTTAGAGTTTAGGAAAATAGAGAGGTCACTGTTACAAAAGTGTAAGAGAATATATGCAAGTGAAGCAGCCTTCTGTGTGTTTCCTGAATCCTATTTTACACCTCACAGTCTCTGAAGCTCTGTAAAAATCTATAGAAATGTGGGTAAACTCATTTCACATTCCATTTGTTTTTGTCAAATATTTTATTATATAGTCATAACAATTAGGCATATTTTATGAAAAGATCATTGAATAAAATACCATTTAGTTGAACTGTGCTCTCTGATATTACCCGTCAGTTTGCTTTTTAAGTCATCTTTATCAAAGAAAGTAGTACAAATAATAAAGGACAACGATGGAAGCTTATATTTCTTTCCAAACCACCATTTCCCAGAATTACAAATTTGAAAGAAACAAATTTTTACTCTTTATATGTAAGTCACCTTGTTTTACACTGTGTTTAAAGGGAAAGAGGGTGGCTGTTGAACTAAATTTATTTACCCCATTCTCTGATTTTACACAATACTGAATCCTGGTTAATATTAGTACCACATTTTAGAACAGTGTACTTATAATCTTTTTTAATGGCTATAATACCTAAACGTACAAAGAAACTAAAATGATCATCTGTCTCACATCTATAAAGGTGAATGGCATTTATTCTCAAATATACTCACTGAAGATAATGTCTGAGATTGCTGTTTTCTAGTCCTGAGACGTCTTACATCTTTGTAGAGTTGTCTATGCAGTGCTTTATTGAAAGTTGCAGTTTTCATTTTTTGCTGTGTGCAGCAAAGGACAAGACAACTAACCATTCTCTTTGATCTTCTTAAATTCACTTGGGTGCATAAGATATTATTATTTTCTGCTGTTTCTGCTTTGCTGGAGACTTAAAATCATACTTTGTCCTTTGAGACCATTTTTCATCACATTTTTTTGCAAACAGGCAAAGTGAAAAAAAAAAAGGTATCCTAGGCAATTATTACAAATGGTTCTTGCTAGTCTCCTATGTGGTTCTTACTCTGAATCATTTGAGTTCCCAACGGTATTTCAAGTTCTTTACTTTAGAGAATCTCACCCCATTCTTAATTGGAATAAAGCCATGAACATAGATGCTATTTTTGACAGACAAGATGAAGATGGTTTTGTCATCATCACAACTAACATACTTTGGGCCTTCTGTAACCACACAAATATATCACAGAAATTAAGACTGCCTTAATTATAGGAAAATTTTCAATTCAAAGCAAAGGGAAAAACACTTTGAAGTCGATAGGCTGAGGTATTGGTAGGTCTAACAGATAATATTATATTTAAAAAAAGACAAAAATAAGTACTATTAATTTGAAAATATTTTAAAATGAAAAAATCTTGAATATCATAGCATTTAGACAAAGAACAATAACTTGAAGTTAGTAATTCATAAATATTTATTTTAGGCTACAGGTTTTTAAAGGAATATTGATTACAATAAACTTTCTTTAATGGATTAAAGTTATACACTGATAAACTGATTTTTCTTTAAACTATGAATAATTTTTAACTATTTCTCTGGTACTTTGCCTTGGGCAATTTTTTTTGAAAGAAACTCAGCAGAAGTTTCATGAAGACTTTTCTAGCGAGATGGAAGAATGGAAGCAACATTGAATAAGCTAACACAAAGCTTTGATTTTCTATTTAAAGCTACATTGAAATCTAACGTTTTAAACTTGCATTTTGTGAGCACACAAATGACCTTTAAAACAAAGTAGTATTTGTCATTGGTTCTGTTTATGTGTGTCATTGGTTCTGTTTATGTTTTTTGATTTGCATATGTTGAATCAGCCTTGCATCCCAGGAATGAAGCCTACTTGATCATGGTGGATAAGCTTTTTGATGTGCTGCCAGATTCGTTTTGCCAGTATTTTATTGAGGATTTTCACATTGATGTTCATCAGGGATATTGGCCTAAATTTTTCTCTTTTTGTTGTCTCTGCCAGGTTTTGGTATCAGAATGATGCTGGCCTCATAAAATGAGTTAGGGAGGAGTACCTCTTTTCTACTGTTTGGGATAGTTTCAGAAGTCATGGTACCAGCTCGTCTTTGTACCTCTGGTAGAATTTGGCTGTGACTCCCCCTGGTCCTGGGCTTTTTTTGGTTAGTAGGCTATTAATTACTGTCTCAATTTCAAAATTTGTTATTGGTCTATTCAGGAATTCGACTTCTTCCTGGTATAGTCTTGGGATGGTGTATGTGTCCAGGAAGTTATCCATTTGTTCTAAATTTTCTAGATTATTTGTGTAGAGGTGTTTATAGTATTCTCTGATGTATTTCTGTGGGATCAGTGGTGATATCCCCTTTGTCATTTTTTATTCTGTCTATTTGATTCTTCTCGCTTTACTTCTTTATCTCAATAGATGCAGAAAAGGCCTTCGATAAAATTCAACACCCCTTCATGCTAAAAACTCTCAATAAACTTGGTACTGATGAAACGTATCTTAAAATAATAAGAGCTATTTATGACAAACCCACAGCAAATATCATACTGAATGGGCAAAACTGGAAGCATTCCCTTTGAAAACCAGCACAAGACAAGGATGCCCTCTCTCACCAATCCTATTCAACATAGTATTGGAAGTTCTGGTCAGGGCAATCAGGCAAGTGAAAGAGATAAACAGTATTCAAATATGAAGAGAGGAAGTCAAATTGTCTCAGTTTGCAGATGATATGATTGCATATTTAGAAAACCCCGTTATCTCAGCCCAAAATCCCCTTAAGCAGATAAGCAACTTCAGCAAAACCTCAGAATAAAAAATCAATGTGCAAAAGTCACAAGCATTCATATACACCAATAACAGACAGAGAGCCAAATCTTGAGTGAATTCCCATTCACAATTGGTACAAAGAGAATAAAATACATAGGGATGCAACTTACAAGGGATGTGAAGTATCTCTTCAAGGAGAACTATGAACCACTGCTCAATGAAATAAGAGAGGACACAAACAAATGGAAAAACATTCCAAGCTCATGGATAAGAAGAGTCAATATCATAAAAAGGGCCATAGTGTCCAAAGCAATTTTTAGGTTCAGTACTATCCCCATCAAGCTACCAATGACTTTCTTCACAGAGTTAGAAAAAACTACTTTAAATTTCATATGGAACCAAGAAAGAGTCCTTATTGCCAAGACAATCCTAAGCAAAAAGAACAAAGTTGGAGGCATCATGCTATCTGACTTCAAACTGTACTACAAGCCTACAGTAACCAAAACAGCATGTTACTGATACCAAAACAGATATATAGAACAATGGAACAGAACAGAAGCCTTAGAAATAACGGCACATGTCTAAAACCATCTGATCTTTGACAAATATTAAAAAAACAAGCAATAGGGAAAGAATTTCTATTTTATAAATGGTATTGGAAAAACTGGCTAGCCATATGCAGAAAAGTGAAACTGGAACCCTTTCTTACACCTTATACAAAAATTCACTCAAGATGGATTATAGACATAAATGTAAGACTAAAACCATAAACACCCTAGAAGAAAACCTAGGCAATAACATTTCAGGACATAGGCATGGGCAAAGACTTCATGACTAAAACACCAAAAGCAATAGCAACGAAAGCCAAAATTGACAAATGGAATCTGATTAAACTAAAGAGCTTCTGCACAGCAAGAGAAACTATCAGCAGAGTGAACAGGCAATCTACAGAATGGGAGAAAATTTTTGCAATCTATCTATCTGACAGATGGCTAATATCAAGGATCGACAAAGAACTTAAACAAATTTACAAGAACAAAACAAACAACCCCACCGAAATGTGGGCCAACAATATGAACAGACACTTCTCAAAAAAAGAAGTGTATGTGGCTAACAAACGTATGAAAAAAAGCTCATTATCACTGGTCGCTAGAGAAATGCAAATAAAAACCACAATGAGATACCATCTCATGCCAGTTAGAATGGTGATCATTAAAAAGTCAGGAAACAACAGATGCTGGAGAGGATGTGGAGAAATAGGAATACTTTTACACTGTTGGTGGGAGTGTAAATTAGTTCAACCATTGTGGAAGACAGTGTGGTGATTCCTCAAGAATCTAGAACCAGAAATACCATTTGACCCAGCCATCCCACTACTGGGTATATACCCAAAGGATTATAAATCATTCTACTGTGAAGACACATGTACATGTATATTTAGTGCAGCACTCTTCACAATAGCAAAGAGTTGGAACCAACCGAAATGGCCTTCAATGATAAACTGGATAAAGAAAACATGGCACATATGCACCATGGAATACTATACAGCCATAAAAAAGGTTGAGTTCATGTCCCTTGCAGGGACATGGATGAAGCTGGAAACCATCATTCTCAGCAAACTAACACAAGAAAATAATACAAAACACCACATGTTCTCACTCATAATTGGGAGTTGAACAATGAGAACACATGGGCACAGGGAGTGGAACTTCATACAACTGGAGCCTGTCAGGGGGTTGGGGGCCTGGGGGAGGGATAGCATTAGGAGAAATACCTAATGTAGATGACGGGTTGATGGGTGCAGCAAACCACCATGGCACATGTATACCTATGTAACAAACCTGCACGTTCTGCATATGTACCCCAGAACATAAAGTATAATAAACAAATAAATAAAAATGATGAGTTCATGTCCTTTGTAGGGATATGGATGAAGCTGGAAACCATCATTCTCAGCAAACTAACACAGGAACAGAAAACCAAACACTGCACGTTCTCACTCATAAGTGGAGTTGAACAATGAGAACACATGGACACAGAGAGGGGAATATCACACACCAGGGCCAGCTGGGCTTTGGGGGATTACGGGAAGGATAGCATTAGGGGAAATAACTAATGTAGATGACGAGTTGATGGGTGCAGCAAACCACCATGGCACGTGTATGCCTATGTAACCAACCTGCACATTCTGCACATGTATTCCAGAACTTAAAATATAATAATAATAATAATAATAATATCTAAGTGGTAAAATCTGCTTGTACATTTATTGTAGTTTGATACAAGTGGTGGATACTGGATTTTTTTTCTTAATATGTACTTAGAAATGCTTCTGTATTCCAATGGTTACTGTTAAGTAACATGAAAAAGAAAAAAAAATCTTGATCAGAAGAAAATTTGCTGACTATTCGTATCCTAATTTAAGCAGAAAATTGAAGATATTTTCTGGTAGTATATCAACAAACTTATCTCCTACAATATTCAGAAGCTGTGGTTCTACTAGTGCATGATGGTTAATTTTATGCATCAACTTTATAGGGATAACAGGTGCCCAGATTAAACATTAATTCTGAGTGTGTCTCTGAAAGTTATTTTTAGATCAGATTCACATTTGAATTGGTGGATTCAGTAAAGTACATTGTCTTTTTTGATGCCAGTAGGCATCATCTTATTCCTTGAGGGCCTGAATAATACAAAAGACTGAGAAAGGAGAGATTTGCCCCTTTCTACTTTCTGCCTTCCTTCTGTAGCTGGGACATAAATGTTCTGCCTTTGGACTGAGATTTACACAATGAGCTTCTCTGGTTCTCAGGCTTTCTCTCTAAGACTGGAATAACACCACTGGCTTTCCTGGATCTCCAGGCTGGAAAACAGTAGATTGTGGGACTTGGCAATCTTCATAATTGCATGAGACCACTCCTCAAAATGAATCTTTGTTTGTTTGTTTGTTTTTTATTGGATGTTGACAAATTATAGTTGTACATATTTATGGGGTACAAAGTGAGGCTATGATATATGTATGCAATGTGGAAAGATTGAGTCAAGCTAATTAAGACAGCTCTCTTCAAATACTTATCATTCATTCTTACTGTCTAACTGAACGTTTTGTAATCTTTAAATAATATCTCCCCATTCTTCCCACTCCTCAGCCTCCGGTAACCATGATTCTCTCTGTTTCTATGTGTTCATTTTTTTATCTTTCACATGAATATTCTTACAGTATTTGTTTTTCTGTGCCCAGCTTATTTCACTTAGTATAACGTTCTCCTTGTTCATCCATATTAGTAGAAATGGCATAATATCCCCCTTTTTTAAGGCTAAGTGGTATTCTATTGTGAATATATAACACATTTTCTTCTGTTCATCTGTTGATAGACACTTAGGTTGTTTCTATATCCTGATTGTTGTGAATAATGATGCAATAAAAATGGAAGTGCAGTATCTCTTAGATGTACTGATTTCAAAGTATTTGAATATATATACAGAAGTGGGATTGCTGGATCATATGGTAACTCTATTTTTACTTTTTTAAGAGATCTCCATATTGTTTCCCATAATGGTTATACTAATTTAAATTCCCATCAACAGTGTGCTAGTGTTCACTTTTCCCTACATCTTCATCAACACTTGTTATCTTTCATCTTTTTGAAAATAGCCATTCTGCCAGGTGTCAGGTGATATTTCATTGGGGTTTTAATTTGCATTTCTTAATGATTAGTGATACTGAGCATATTTTCAAATATCTGTTGGTTGTTTGTATGTCTTCCATCGAGAGGTGTCCTATTTGGTCATCTGCCTATTTTTAAATTGAGTTTTTATTTTTTGTTTTTTTGCTATTGAGTTATTTGAGGTCCTTATAATTTTAGATACTAACTCTTACCACATGCATGGTTTACAAGGTTTTTTATTCTGTAGGCTTCCTCTTTACTCTT
The DNA here is from genome assembly GCF_000001405.40 of Homo sapiens. NCBI lineage: Eukaryota > Metazoa > Chordata > Mammalia > Primates > Hominidae > Homo > Homo sapiens. The sequence goes on along the minus strand of NC_000003.12, from coordinate 83,698,201 downwards.
TTATTTTTTTTTCCTTTGCTCTACAGAAACTTTTGCATTTGATAAAATCTCATTTGTCTTTTTTGTTGCTGTTGCCTCACCTTTTCAGATCAAATTAAAAAAAATCACTGCCAAGGGCAATGTTATGAAGCTTTTTCTTTTATGTTTTTTTTCTAGTAGTTTTAGTTTCAGATGTTACATTTAAGGCTTTAATCCATTTTGAGTCATTTTTTGTATATGGTGTAAGGTAAAGATCCAATCTCACTCCTCTGCCTATGGATATTTAGTTTTCTCAGCACCTTTTAATAAATAAACAGTTTTTTTCTCATTTGTTTATTCTTAGTACCTTTGTTGAAAATCAATTAAAATAAATATGTAAATTTATTTTGGAATTTCTATTTTGTTCCATTGGTTGATGTGTCTATTTTAATGTCAGTACCATGCTGCTTCAATTACTATAGCTTTGTAATGTATTTTGAACTCAGGTAATATGACACTTCCAGCTTTGTTCTTTTTATGTAAGATTTCTCTAGCTATTGAGTAGTTTTCGTATTTACATATGAATTTTAGAATTTTTTTTTATTTCTCTAAAAAATAACATTGGAATTTTGAAAGGGATTGTATTAAATATATGCATCACTTTGGATATTATAAAAACTCTAACAATATAAATTCTTTTAATCCATATACAAAGTAGGTTTCCACTTATATGTGTCTTTTTCAATTTTATTTTTCAAAGTTTGGTAATTTTCAGTGTGTAGATTTTCCCCTTCCTTGATTAAATTTTATTTCTATTTTAATTTTTTGTACATTTTGTGAAAGAGTGCGTAAAAATGCTATTGATTTTAGTATGCTGATTTTGTAAACTGAAACTTTGTTCATTTATTAATTCCAACAGCATTTTAGTAGAGTCTTTAGGTTTATATATATATATATATATATGAAAGATCATGCCATCAGCAAAAAGCAACAATTTCACTTATTCCTTTTCTATTCAAATGCCTTTTATGTATTCATTTGCCTAATTGTTCTAGGACTTCCAGTTCTATATTAAATAGAAATGGCAAAAGAGAATATTCTTGTTCTGCTTCTGATCTTAGAGGAAAAGCTTTAAACTTTGCACTGTTGATTGTAACGTTATGTGCCAGTTTGTCATATATGGCCTTTATTGTGTTGAGGGACATTTCTTCTGTACCTAATCTGTTGACAGTTTTTTATAACAAAGTGATGTTTATTTTTTTCAAATGCTATTTCTGCATCTAATGATATGATTGTATAGCTTTCATCTTTTATTATGTTAATGTGGTATATCACATTTATAGATATACATCTGTTAAACCATTCTTGAATTCCTGGGGGAAATCCCACTTAATCAAGGTAAATGATGCTTTCAATGTGCTTTTGAATTGGGTTGCTAGTATTCTGATGAGGATTTTTTAATCTATGTTCATCAGTGTTATTGGCCTGAATTTTTTTTTTAATGTCCTTTTCTGGTTTTGGTATCTGAGTGATGCTGGCCTCATAGAAAAAATAACCAGAAAGTATTCTATGTGAAATTTTGAGAATGATTGGTATCAGTTCTTCTTCAAATGTTTGGTAGAATTCAGAAAGAAGCCATTATGCCCTGAGCTTTTCTTTCATTAGAGACTTTAAATTATTGGTTCAATCTGCTTACCTTTTACTGGTTTGTTTAGATTTTTTATTTCTTTGGAATTCAGACTTGGTAGGTTATATATTTTTAGGAATTTATATGTTTCTTAAGGGTTACCTAATTTGTTCTCATAAAACTGTTCATAGTAATCTCTTATGATGTTTTGTATATCTGTAGTTTCAATTGTCATTTCTCTTTCATTTCTAGTTTTATTTATTTGAGACTTCTTTTTATTTTTCTCAGTATAGCTAATTGTCAGTTTTGTTTATTCTTTATAAAAAACAATACTTTTTTATTTTTTTCTTTTTTTGTCTTTGTTTTATTGATTTCTGCTTTGATGTCCCTTTTATTTCCTTCTTTTTGATAATTTTGGATTTAGTCTGTTCTTTTTCTAGTGCCTTGAGATGCAATGTTAGGTTATTGACTTGAAATATGTCTTCCTTTTTAAAATAGCCATTTATTGTTGTAAATTTCTCCCTTAGGGCTGCTTTTGCTGCATCTCAGAATTTTTGGTATGTGCACGTCTATTTCTATTTGTCTCAAAGTATTTTTAATTTGCTGTTTGATATCTTCTTTGACCCACTAGTTGTTCAGGAGTATGTTGTTAATTTCTATGTATTTTTGGATTTTCTAAGATTTCTTTTGTTAGCAATTTCTGGCTTCACATCATTAAGTTCAGAAAAAGATAACTGATGTAATTTCAGTTTTCTTAAATGTGTTTAGGCTTGTTCTGTGGCCTAAGATATTATCTATCTTGGAGAACATTTTGTGTGCCCTTGAGAAGAATGTGTATTGTGTTGCTTTTGAGTGCAATCTTCTATATATGTCTCTAACGTTCATTTGGTCTAAAGTATAGTTCAAATGTGACGTTTCCTTATTAATTTTTTTTAGTTTTTATTTTTAATTTTGTGAGTACATAGTAGTTGTATATATTTATGAGTTATATGAAATATTTTGATACAGACATGCAATGTGTAATCATCACTACAGGGAAAATTGGGTATCTGTCACCTCAAGCATTTACCCTTTGTGTTACAAATGATCTAATTATATCAGTTTATTAATTTTAAAAAGTATAATTAAATGATTTTTGGCTATAGCCACCCTGTTGTGCTACCAAATACTAGGCCTTATTTATTCTTTCCAACTATTTGTTGTACTCATTAACAATTCCTACTTCTCCCCAACACCCCACTACCCTTCCCAGCATCTAGTAACCATGCTTCTACTTTCTATCTCCATGAGTTCAGTTGTTTTAATTTTTACCTCCCACAAAGAAGTGGGAACATGTGAAGTTGGTCTTTCCATGCTTGGCTTATTTCAGTAAATATAATGACCTCCAGTTCCAACCAAGTTGTTGCAAATGATAGAATCTCAATATTTTATATGGCTAAATAGTACTCCATTGGGTATGTACCATATTTTCTTTATCCATTCATCTATTGATGGATATTTATGTGTCTTCCAAATCTTGGCTATTGCGAACAGTGCTGCAATAAACATGGGAGTGCAGATATCTCTTTGATATACTGATTTCCTTTCTTTGGGGTATGTACCCAGCAGTCAGATTGCTGGATCATATGATAGCTCTATTTTTAGCATTTTTAGAGGAAAAATCCAAACTGTTCTACGTAGTGTTTGTACTAATATTACCTGCATTTTGGATAAAAGCCATTTTTACTGGGGTAAGAAATATCTATTCAGGTCTTTTGCCCATTTTTCAATCAAATTATTTTATTTTTTTCATATAGAATTGAGTTCCTTATATATTCTAGTTATTAATCCCTTGTCAGATGGGTAGTTTCCAAATACCTTCTCCCATTCTGTGGGTTGCCTCTTCACTTTGTTGATTGTATCTTTGGCTGTGTAGCAGGATATAATCCAATTTGTCATATTTTTTACCTTGATGTGATCTAATTTGTCCATTTTTGCTTTGGTTTCCTATGCTTGTGGGGTCTTAATCAAAAAATATTTGCCCAATCTAATTTTCTGGACAGTTTGCCCAATGGTTTCTTGCAGTAGTTTCACAGTTCGAGGTCATAGATCTAAGACTTTAATTCATTTTGATTGTATTTTTGTATATGGGTGAGAAATGGATATGAATATTCAGTTTTCCCAGTACCACTTAATGAACAGATTATGTTTTCCAATGTATGTTCTTTGCACCTCTGTCAAAAATGAATTCACTATAGATGTATGTATTTCCTTCTGGGTTCTATATTTTGCTCCAATGATTTATGTGTCTACTTTTCCACAAGTACCATGCTGTTTTGGTTACTATAGCTCCATAGTATAATTTCAAGTCAGGTAGTGTAATTCCTCCAATTTTGTTCTTTTTGCTTAGGTTAGCTTTGGCTATCCTGGGTGTTTTGTGGTTTTGTATAAATTTTAGGATTATTTTATCTATTCCTGTGAAGAGTGTCATTAGTATTTTGATAGAGATTGCAATAAATAAATAGATTGCCTTGGATAATATGGACATTTTAACAATATTGATTCTGCCATTCTAACAACATGGACTATCATTCCATTTTTTGGGGTCTTCTTCAATTTCTTACATCAATACTTTATAGTTTTCATGTAGGGATCTTTTACTTCTTTGGTCAAATTAATTTATATGTATTTTATTTTACCTATAGCTATTGTAAGTAGGATTACACTCTTAAGGTCTTTGTCAGATGTTCATTGTTTGCATATAGAAAAGCCACTGATTTTTGACTGGGCATGGAGGCTCACGTCTGTAATCCCAGCACTTTGGGAGGCCGAGATGAGCAGATCACCTCAGGTCAGAAGTTCGAGACCAGCCTGGCCAACATGGAGAAACCCCAACAATAAAAAAATTAGCTGGGTATGTTGGCATGTGCCTATAATCCCAGCTATTTGGGAGGCTGCGGCATGAGAATCTCTTGAACCTGGCAGGTGGAGGTTGCAGTGAGCTGAGATTGCATCACTGCCTGGAGGATAGAGCAAGAGTCTATCTAAAGAAAGGAAGAAGAAAGAAAGAAAGAAAGAAAGAAGGAAGGAAGGAAGGAAGGAAGGAAGGAAGGAAGGAAAGAAAGAAAGAAAGAAAGAAAGAAAGAAAGAAAGAAAGAAAGAAAAGAAAGAAAGATGGAAAGAAGGGAAAGAAGGGAAGAACAAAAGAAGGGAAAGAAGGGAAGGAAGGGAAGGAAGGGAGGAAGGAAGGAAGAAGGAAGAAAGGAAGGGAGAAAGAGAGAAAAAGACAGAGGGAGAGAGAGAAAGCCCACTGATTTTCACATGTTAATTTTGTATCTAGCAATGTTACTGGATTTATCAGTTCTAACCATTATTTAGTGGATTCTTTATGTGTTTCCAAATACTAGATCATATCATCTTCAAACAAGGAAAATTTGACTTCTTATTTTCCTTTCCAACTTGGATGCCCTTTCTTTCTTTCTCTTGTCTGGTTCCTCTAGCTAGGACTGCAGGTACTATGCTAAATAACGGTAGTGAAAGTAGGCATTCTTATCATGTTCCTGATCTCAGAGAAAAGTATTTCAGTTTTTCCCCATTTAGTATGATATTAGCTCTGTGTCTGTCATATATGGCTTTAACTATGTTTAGGTATGTTCTTTCTAGCACCAATTTATTGAAGGTTTTTATTGTAAAGTGATGTTGAATTTTATCTTGTGCTTTTTCAGCATCAATCCAAATGATCATATGGTCTCTATCCTTCATTCTGTTGATATGATGTATCACATTCACTGATTTGCACATGTTGATCCATTCTTGCATCTGAGTGACAAATTCCACTGTCTTGATGAATGATCTTTTTAATGTGTTGTTAAATTCAGTGTGCTAGTATTTTGTTGAGGATTTTTGCATCAATATTCATCAATGAATTGGCCTCTAGTTTTGTGGTGTATTTATTTACAGTTTTTGTTGATGTGTCTTTGTCTGACTTTGGTATCTAGGTAATACAGCTTCAAAGAATGAATTTGGAAGTATTCCTTCCTCTTCTATTTTTAAGAATACTTTGAGTATGATGGATATTATGTCTTCTTTAAATGTTTGTTAAATTTCAGCAGTGAAGCTATTGGGTCCCAGACTTTACTTCACTGGGAGATTTTTATTATGGCTTCAAGCTCATTGCTTGTTGTTGGTCTGTTCAGGTTTTGGAATTCTTCATGACACAAGTTTGGTAGATTGTATGCGACTAGGAATTTATGCATTTTTCTAGATTTTCCAATTTATTGGCATATAGTTGATCATAGTAGACATTAATAATCTTGAATTTCTGTGGTATCAGTGGTAATGTCTCCTTTTTATATTTTTATTTATTTATTTATTTATTTATTCATGTCATCTCTCTTTTTTCTTACTCTTACTAAAGATCTGTCAATTTGTCTCATTTTTTCAAAAATCCACCTTTTTGTTTTGTTGATATATTTTTCCTTCATTTCAATGTCATTTATCTCTGCTCTGATCTTTATTATTTCTTTTCCTCTACTAATTTGGGGTTTAGCTTCTTATTCTTTTACTCATTCTTTAAGATGAATTCTTAGGTTGTTTATTTGAAGTTTTTCTTCTTTTTTTGATGTGGTACTTATAGCTGTAAACTTCCCTCCTAACACTGCTTTTGCTGTAGGTCATAGGTTCTGGGGTATTGTGTTTCCATTATATGTTTCAAAAAAATTTCAGGTTTCTTCTTAATTTTTTTCATTGACCCACTGGTCATACAAGAACATATTGTTTAATTTCAATGTATATTTTCCAAAATCCCTCTTGTTATTGATTTTTAGTTTCATTTCATTGTGTTCAGAGAAGATGCTTGATATTATTTCATTTTTAAAATTTTTTTGTCTTATGAAACTATTGATATTTAATTATTTTTTATTACAATAAATTACAATTACAATAAATTTTTTATATGATTCATTTGTATAGGTAATATTAGGTAGAAAAATAACTAGAATGTTCCCTTTTCCCTTATTTTACATTTTTGCATTGCTGTAACTCTAATTTGGGTCTTATAATGGGATTTTTTAGCTCAAGTAAAGAATTTTGTACATAGAATTTTTTATTGTAATCATCACTATTTTACACAACCCTTTCTTTTTTTTGGTGATTTTATATATATATATATATATATATATATATATATATATATATATATATATATATATATAAAATGTATATTTTAAGTTCTGGGATACATGTGCAGAATGTGCAGGTTTGTTATGTAGGTATACATGCGTCATGGTGGTTTTCTGCATACATCAACCAGTCATCTACATTAGCTATTTCTCCTACTGCTATCCCTCCTTCAGCTCCCCCGACTCTGACAGGCCCCGGGGTGTGATGTCCACCCTGTGTCCATGTGCTCTCATTGTTCAACTCCCACTTATCAGTGAGAATGTGTGGTGTTTGGTTTTTAGTTCTTGTGTTAGTTTGCTGAGAAAGAAGATTTTCAGCTTCATCCATGTCCTTGCAAAAGACTTGAACTCATCCTTTTTTATGGCTGCATAGTATTCCATGGTGCATATGTGCCACTTCTCTTTATCTAGTCTATCATTGATGGGCATTTGAGTTGGTTCCAACTCTTTGCTATTGTGAACAGTGCCACAATAAACATACGTGTGCATGTGTCTTTATAGTAGAATGATATATAATCCTTTGAGTACATACCCAGTAATGGGATCACTGTGTCAAATCGTATTTCTGGTTCTAGATCCTTGAGGAATCACCACACTGTCTTCCACAGTGGTTGAACTAATTACACTCCCACCAACAGTCTAAAAGCCTTCCTATTTCTCCACATCCTCTACAGCATCTGTTGTTTCCTGACTTTTTGAATGATCATCATTCTAATTGGCATGAGACGGTATCTCATTGTGGTTTCGATTTGCATTTCTCTAATTATCAGTGATGATGAGCTTTTTTTCATATGTTTGTTGGCTGCATATATGTCTTCTTTTGAGATGTGTCTGCTCACGTCCTTTGCCCACTTTTTGATGGGGTTGCTTTTCTTGTAAATTTATTTAAGTTCATTGTAGGTTCTGGATATTAGCCCTTTGTCAGATGGATAGATTGTAAAACTTTTCTCCCATTCAGTAGGCTGCCTGTTGACTCTGATGATAGTTTCTTTTGCTGTGCAGAAGCTCTTTAGTTTAATCAGATCCCATTTGTCAATTTTGGCTTTTGTTACCATTGCTTTTGGTGATTTAGTCATGAAGTCTTTGCCCATGCCTATGTCCTGAATGGTATTGCCTTGGTTTTCTTCTAGGGTTTTTATGGTTTAAGTCTTTAATCCATCTTACATTAATTTTTGTATAAGATGTAAGGAAGAGATCCAACAGCTTTCTGCATACGGCTAGCCAGTTTTTCTGACACCATTTATTAAATAGGGAATCTCTTCCTCATTGTTTATTTCATGTTTGTCAAAGATCAGATGGTTGTAGATAATAAGAACTATTTATGACAAACCCGCAGCCAATATCATACTGAATGGGCAAAAGCTGGAAGTATTCTTTTTGAAAACTGGCAGAAGATAAGGATGCCCTCTCTCACCACTCCTATTCAACACGTTATTGAATGTTCTGACCATGGCAATCAGGCAAGAGAAAGAAATAAATGGCATCCAATTAGGAAAAGAGGAAGTCAAATTGTCTCTGTTTGCAGATGACATGTTGTATATTTAGAAAACCTCATTGTCTCAGCCCAAAATCTCCTTAAGCTGATAAGCAACTTAAGCAGTCTCCTCAGGATACAAAATCAATATGATAAAAAGACAGAGTGGCTGCACTGAATTTTTTAAAACAACAAGACTCAACTAGATGCTGCCTGTAGGAGGCTTACCTAACCTTTAAAGATATGCATAGCTGAAAGGGAAGGGATGGAAAAAATATTACTTCCAGACTGGGCACAGTGGCTCACGTATGTAATACCAGCATTTTGGGAGGCCGAGGCAGGTGGATCACCCAAGGTCAAAAGTTTGAGACCAGCCTGGCCAACATTGTGAAATCCCTCCTCTACTAAAAAATACAAAATTAGCCAGGTGTGGTAGCACTTGCCTGTAGTCCTAGCTACTCAGGAGGCTGAGACAGGAGAATTGCTTGAACCTGGGAGGTGGAGGGTACAGTGAGCTGAGATTGTGCCACTGCACTACAGCCTGGGTGAGACAGTGAGACTCTGTCTAAAAATAAAAGAAAAAGAATAAAGAAAGAAAGAAAGAAAGGCTATTACATGTAAATAAATACCAAAAGAGAGAAAGAGCAAAAGTAGCTACATTTATAACATAAAAAAATAAACGTTAAGGCGTAAGCTATAAAAAGAGAGGAAAATAATCATTAAGTAATGATTAAAGGGTCAAATAATCAAGAATGTATAACAATCATAAATATACATGCCCCCCAACATTGGAGCACCTAAATATATTTATAAAAAATTAACTGCATGTTCTTAGTCATAAGTGAGAGCTTAAAAATGAGAACATGTGGACACAGGGAGGGGAACAACACACACCAGGGCATGTTGGGGGGAGGGGAGGGGAGGGAGAGCATCAGGACAAATAGCTAATACATGTGGGGCTTAAAACCTGGACGATGGGTTGATATGTGCAGCAAACCACCGTGACACATGTATACCTATGTAACAAACCTGCACGTTCTGCACATGTATGCCAGAACTTAAAGTAAAATATTTTTTAAAATTAATTAATTAATTAATTAAAGACTGCAGTGAGAGAGAGATTGCAATAGAATCATACTATGGGACTTTAATGACCAAAAAAATGTAAAGACTCTGCAGTGAGATAGAGATTGCAATACAATCATATTATGGGACTTTAATAACCAACTCTCAACAATGGACACATCATCCAGACCAATAATTAATAAAGAATAGCAATGGTGAAGCAAGATGGTGGAAAAAAGGACACCACTGATTGTTTCCCATGCAGGAACACCGAATTTAATAGCTATCTACATTTAAAAAGTGCCTTCAGGGTTTGAGGGCAATCTGGCTGCAACATCTGTGACCCAACTGATTGTCACGCTTGATTCAGCTGATCTGACTGGCTAGGCAGGTTTCCCCTTTTCTCCCTCAGTGCTCCATGTGTGTCCCTTCCAAATCTGCGAGCTTGGTCAAAGATGATGTCCATCCCCCATAGAGGAAGACTGTTCTCCAGTCAAGGGTATACAAATAGCTGTGCTCCCCTGCTAGAACCTCCAAAGAAGCGCTTGTAAAAAGCGCCTTCATAAGAACCAAAAATCAGGTAAGAACACAGAGTACCTAGTTCTAACTTCATATCACCAAAAGAGGCACGGAAGAGGGTAAGAAAGACAGTCTTGAATTGCTGATGACACCCCTCCCTCATTCTCCAGCAGCAGCCATATTGTACAGAGAAGTCTGTGCATGTGGGAGAGGGAGAGCACAGTGATGATGAGACTTTGCATTGAACATAGTGCTGCCATGTAACAGTGGAAAGCAAAATTGGGCTGAGCTCAGTTGATGTCTGCCCATGAAGGCAGCATTTAGACAATCCCTAGCAAGAAGAGAATCGCCTATTCCTGCACTTGGAACTTGAGTTATAGTAAGTCCCACAACCAAAAAAAGTGCTCTGGGGTCTTAAATAAACATGAAAGGCAGTTTAGGCCATGAAGACTGCAAGTCCTAGTTCTGATTTGGGCTTGGAGCCAATGGAGTTGGGAGCATGTGACTTATTGAAACACCAGCTGGGCCAGCTAAGGAAGTGCTTACACCACCCTTTCCCCAACCCCTGACAGTAAAGCTTGTGGCTCCAAAAAAAACCTATTTTTTCTACTTGAGGAGAGTAGAGGAAAGTGTAAAGAGGACTTGTGTTTTGCATCTTTGATACCAGCTCAGCCATAGCAGGATAGGGCAATGGCCAGAGTTGTGAGGCTCCCCATTCTAGGCCTTAGCTTCTGTACATTTTTAGAAACACCCTGGGCAAGACAAGATCCCACTGCCTTCAAGGGAAGGACCCAGCCCTGGCAGGAACTATCACTTGCCGAATAATGCGCTCCTGATTGCTGAATAACCAGTAGTGATATGTAGGTAGTACACTGTGTCCTTGAGTGAAACTATGAGACTTGCTGGGTTCGGGTGACACCTACCACATTCCTACCTGTGGTGACTCTGGTGAAAGAATCCTGCTTAAGAAAAGAAGAGAAAAAAGTAAAGGGGACTTTGTCTTGTATTTTAGGTGTCAGTTTGGACACTGTGGAGTAAGGCACCAATTTTAGTCCCTGGCTTTTGGACAGCATTCCTGGACATGCTCTAGATCAGAGGGGAGCCTACCAATGTGGGAGTGAGTCCACGGCTTTGCAGCATTCACCACAAGCTGACTGCCGAGCCCTTGGAACTTACGTGAACACTGGAAGTAGCTTGGAAGTACTCCCTGTGGGCCTGTGGTGATGGTGGCCATGCAGTAAGACTCTTCTGCTTGGGGAAAGGCGAAACAAGGGTGGGAAGAATTCTGTTTCATGGTTTGAGGGCCAGCTCAGCCACAGTAGAATAGAACATGACGTAGACTTCTAAGGTTTTTGACTCTATTCTCTGGCTCCAGGCACATCTGAGGTCTAGGGGAACTTGTGACCTTGAAGGGAAGGACACAAGCCTGGCTAGCTTTACAACCTGTAAAGCTAGATTGTAGAGCTGTAGGGCATTGAGAGAATGTAGGCCATATCAAGTTCATGGTTACAGCGGGCCTTGGGTGAGACCCAGAGGTGTTCTTGCTTCAGTCTGTTCTAGCACAGTCCCAGTGGCAATGGACACAGGGGTGCTTGTGTCACATCACCCCAAGCCCCAGCCACTCTTTTTATCAGATAATTTAAATTATTTACAAGTAATTATTGATAGATAAGGACTTACTAAATGGCTTTGTAGTTTGTTTTCTGGTTCCTTTGAGTATATTTTGCCTCTTCTTTTGTTTCTCTCGTCCTTTATAATTTGATTGTTTTCTATAGTGGTATGCTTTGAACCCTTCTTGCTTATGTTTTCTAAATCTACTGTAGATTTTTCATTTGTTGCTATTATGAGGCTACATAAAATCTCTTATGCTTATAAGAGGCTCTTTTAAGATTATAACAACCTGGCTGAAATGCACTGTGGTGGTCATCTTCCTTTCTGGGAGGGACCTTGGGATAAACTTTGAGGCTGAGGTGAGTATTGTTTAAACTCTTGTGTGTGGCAGAACTAGCCCCTCCTCTGCTAGAATGCACTGTGGTGGTTATCTTTTTCCCTAGTAGGCTTTGAGGTCAAGCTGAGCCCTAACTCCTGCTCTTTGTAGAAATGCACTCTGGTGACCATCCCCTTCCTAGGGCAAGGATTTCAGGTAGGGTCTGAGGCTGCACCTGAATGCTGGCTGTCCAAGGACCAGCTTAGCTTTGTGGGTGGACTATGTTATTGTGTAGTACATCTGATCAAGTACCACCACTGGAAGGTACAGAGTTACCACCAAGATCTGTGCACCAGTCACTGTGAGCTCTTCCTTCTTGTTTTGTTTCTACCTGACTCCAGTGGTTTAGCTATGCCATTACCCTCTGTGTTCCCCATGAGTTGAGACTGAAGTGAGCATATTGAGAAGTGTCTCAGAACACTAAGGAAGTTTGATGTCTGCTAGTAATCATCTTTTCCCCCTGCAGAAACCATGAGCCCTGGAGATTTCTCTCTGTGTGGTGCCATGCCAATTTTCAGGAGGGAAAGAGCAATGTAGTCAGTGAGATCATTTTTCTTACCCCTTCTTTTGGTATTTTGTTCAGTTCTGTGGTTCATGCAGTCATCTCAGTCCTGTTCTCAAGTTGTAGCATTTTCACAAAGATGTTCTTGTCTGTGGATAGTTACTAGTTGAATTTTCTATGGATGGAAGTGAAGCCTAGGAACTCTTATTCCGCCATTTTGCTGGCATTACTCATAAATATGTTTATATATATCAATAAGTCTTTCTATATATAATATACTATATATTATATGTAAGATATATTTATATTTCTCTGATTCCATCTATCTATCTATATATCCTATTCTGTTTTTCCGGAGAATTCTGACTAATACTAGCTGTATAGCTTAGAAGTTAAGAAAGCAGGATCTAAATTCTGAGATCATATGTGCCTCTTTCCAAACATATGACCTAGAAAGTTTAATTTGTTTCTCTAAGTTGTCCTTTAGTATTCTAGAAAATGAGGTCAACATTAGTACCTTCTTGTAGGGTTTTGTTGAGAATTATATGAAACTTTGTAAACAGATTATTTTGGTGCATGATCAGAAATCAATATATTTGACCAATTATTTTGCATATATTATCTTGAGTAATGTTTCTATACATTGGCTTTATATCAGCTTCACTGCCTTAAAATTATTTAATGAAATTTTAAAGTGACTCATAATTTCTGGCAATTTTAGTGTTTTATCATTATGTTTACCTTTTTTCCTCTTTAATTATGTTGTGAGAAATTTAAGTCCATAAACACAGTTGTTACAATTAAGTTTGAGACTGTAAGTCCTAATCATTAAATATTTACTTATGTCCTACATCTATGATCTGTGCTGGGAGTGGGAAATTATCAATATACATATGCTAATTGTGGTTGAAAAGAAACATAATCATATTAGTGTGCTCTTTTGGATAAAGAAATTTAGAACTGATTTATGTGCCTCATATGTTTCCACAGGGACAAAAGATCATAGGCTAGAAATTGACAGGGATCCACAGCACGTAAGGTACTTTTCTCACAGGCATGTTCATGACAGGAAGGAGATCCTAGATAAAGCTGTTAAGTAAAGAGTTAGGATAAGTGATTTATACACTTCATGAGAAACAGGAAAGAATGCAGAAACTTTTCAATAGAGACATCGTATTTCCCACATACAAATCTACTGAAACGGCAAAATAGCTTAAGGCTATTTTATCACCAAAGCTATTTGTTTAGTCAGGATTTATTTGAACTGCAGAAGATATATAACTCCAAAGTTCATTAGAGAGTTTGGACTCAAAGGAAAGGAGAAAAAGTAGATTGTGTCAAGGTTACAGATAACACACGTTTTATTTAGAAACCATATTTAATATTATATGCATCCTAACTTAGTGAAACTATTGGCTAGAGCATGTACAGAACATTAATTATACCCTTTTAAAGCAAAAATCATGCAATTAATTCAAATATATTTGAAAATATTATTTCATTGCGAAATATTTTGAGAATATTTATTTAGATATAAAGAGTTATAATTTTTAAATGATTATTTAATAATTATACTAAACAAAATATTATCCACAGGTGGCAAAATACAGATTAATGGAGTGACAGCATTTAAAAAATTTAAAGGGATATTAATGCTCATGGGTCCAATCTCATCCGGGTTCTCTCCACATCAGCACTGCATGGGAACTTGAAAAATATGCAGATTTGTGGGCCTTTCCCAGACTCAGTGAATCAGAAACTCTTAGAGTGGTACCCAGAAATTAGCATCTTCTCCAGCCCTCTGGGTAATATTTTTACATGCTAAGCTTTGAAAACCACTAATCTACAACTACTATGCTTGACTTAAGGTTGCTGGAAAACAAAACAAAACCAATAGAAACATAAGACAACATTCCAGTTTGAATTTCAGAACAATAACAGAGAAATTTTTAGTAGAAACATGCCCTGCATCGTGCATGGGACATACTTATAGTAAAACTCCTTAGTTTTTTTTTAATCTGAAATTCAGATTTAACTAGTGTCTTATGTTTTATCTGGCAACCTTAGCTTGAATGGGAGAAACTAGAGATGGCTTAGTCAACCTAACCTTCTATTTTAAACAAGGGAATATTCAGATTTAAAAAGACACAATAACTGGTCATGTTCCGTAGTTGGTTTATTGCAAGAATTACTCTATGTGCCCCAAAATGTTGAATCCTAGCTCAGTACTCTTTCCACTACTTCTTGACATATTCTAAACTCAATGAAAGTTTACATTAGTCGCCTTGTGTTATTATAACAAAATACTATAATCTGGGTAGTTTAAACAACAAAAATTCATTTTCTTACAATTCTGGAGGCTGAAGTTCAAGAACAGGTTGCCAGTATAGTTAGTTTCTGGTCAGAGCTCTCTAACTGATTTGCAGATGGTTGCCTTCTTGGTAATTTCTCATATTGTGAAGAGACTGAGCCAGCCATCTGGTATCTCTTATAAAGATAATAATCCCATCATGAGAGTCCAACCTTCATGACCTTATCTAAACCTAATACTTCCCAAAGACCCATCTCCAAGTGCCATTATATTAGGGGTTAGCAGTTTAATACATGAATTGTGAGAGGACACAATTCAGTATATATAAAGGGTTATGTTTATACCTTATAAATGAGAAAAAAAGCAACATTGCCTTGAAATGATATGGTGAAAAAAAATGTAAAGAAAGGAAACTCTAAAGTACCTATTAAAACACAATATTTCTCAGAAAAATTCTGGAGTATTTTTTACTTGAACTACCTACTTTCATAAAGTTCTAAAAGTTCTAAGCTATGCAAAATGTATTAAAGCCACATAATCCAGAGTATATACTGAGTTTGCTTATATTGGTTAGATCAAGGTGTATGTCAATTAGCAAGTATTAATTTTTTTAAATTTATAGACTTTTTGGAACAGTTTTAAATTCGCAGAAAGTACTGAATTTACATATACATTCTTACTGCTTTTCTCAATTGTCCTTATTATTAAATATTTTCTTAATATATTACATTTTCTACAACTGATGAGTCATATTGATAAATTATTATTACTTAGAGTCCATAGTTTACATAAATTAGGGTTCGCTCTGCACTGCATTTTGTATGGGTTTTGGCAAATATATAGCAGTATGTATCTACCATTATTGTATCATTCAGAATAATTTCACTGCCTTAAGTCCTTTGTGCTCAAGGATTCACTTCCAAAACAGATGTGTCCATTGGAGAGACTTCAGATATCTAATAGAAAGTATTTGAACAATGGAAGAAAAACAGTCTTAATTCTTATTCCTGCAGAAGCAATTTTTTCATTGAATATTTATTATTGCATTATTTCCCTTATTTCAGTTAAGTCAAGGGTATAAGTTATATGGAGCATAGATAATAATTTTTTTATTTCTCAAAATTCACCCTAAACATTACCAAACAGAATTAAATGAAAGAGAGAAATAAGAATAATTAGAAAGGATCCAAAAAAATAAGATTCTTGTTCTGTGAGTCTCTTGGTAGCTCTAAGTGACATAGAGGAGAAATTTATGTGACCTTCCTAATAGCAAAGCAATCTATTTTATTTGCTGTATTCAAGCACTAGCATCTGGTTGGTTACATTTCAGCTGAATTTCATGTTGTTAATAGTCTGTTCAAAACAGCTACTTCAAAGATTTCTTTCTGCAGCCTTGTTTGATATTGGTATTTGTTCTTAGTCCTTTGTGGGGTGCGTTAATTGGATCATTTTACATTAATCGAAACTGTTTGCCAAACACTGACTTTGGCAGTTTGGAATGGAATTCCTATTTCTTTCTTGCATGCATGCTTAGTCCGGATCAGGGTAAGGACAAAAAACCTTATAGATATGCATTTCCTTCTTACCATTCCTCAACATTTTGTTTTCATATTTAATTGTGCACAGTCCACAGACCTTTCTACATAGTAGAAAATTTTAGTTATAAAACTTTTTTTTTTCATTTTTTGTACGTTTTTAGTTCTGTTGGCTAGAAAACTCCATATATTTGGGACACTATATATGTTTTCCTTTTAGTTTTTATTGGTTATTTACATTTTAACAGACAAAATTGGCATCTCTTTGGCTTAATAAAAACATTGTTAAAATAAGTTATCTCATTAGAAATTCATAATTTTTCAGATAGAGAATTCTAACAGATGTTTTCCTAGGAAAATTTATATGAATGAGAAGCGTTATAGTTACGCTATAATATGATATTAGTTAGATAATTCATAGACATTAAATAAGGAAGAAGTGTATAAGAAGAGAATATTGAATATTATAAAATTTAATATTTAAAAAATCGATTTGCTTTTGTCTGAACACATTGTAAAATTTGAGAGTAAACGATATTTTATATGAATGGAAATTTTAGTATTATTTTTAATGACACTCTCTTAAATCACATTAGTTTTCACTCACTAGTATAAAGGGAGTACTATATCAATTTTACTTGGCAAATGAGAATAACCTTTGACAAAATTAAGAGTAAGGAGATATTTGTCTGGATTAGTTGTATGTGACATTCCCTTTAAATTTTAGATCTATACTCATGTTTAATATCCCTTTTGCTTATCACGGGTGCTCTCATTTATTCTGTCTGACTTTTTATTTATTTATTTTTAATTTTTATTTTAAATTCTAGGGTATAGGTTTGTTACATAGGTAAATGTGTGCAATGATGGTTTGCTGCACCTATAAACCCATCACCTATGTATTAAGCCCAGTATGCATTATCTATTTTCTCTAATGCTCTTCCTCCCTCCACCCCACCCCTACACTGGCCCTAGGGTGTTTTGTTTTCCTCCCTCTGTCCATATATTCCCATTGTTCAGCTCTCACCTGTAGGTGAGAATATGTGGTGTTTGCTTTTCTGTTCGTGCATTAGTTTGCTGAGGATAATGGCTTCCAGTTCCATGCATATCCCTGCAAAGGAAATGATCTTGTTCCTTTTTATGGCTGCATGGTATTCCATGGAGTTTTTGTACCACATTTTCTTTATCCAGTCTGTTACTGATGGACATTTGGGTTGATTCTGTGTCTTTGCTCTTGTGAATAATGTTCTAATGAACATATACATGCATATATCTTTGTGATAGAATGATTTGTATTCATTTGGGTATATGCCCAGTAACGGGATTGCTGGGTCAAATGACATTTCTGGTTCTATATCTTTGAGGGATCACTACACTGTCTTCACAATGGTTGAACTGATTTCCACTCTGACCAACAGTGAAAAAAGTGTTCCTATTTATCCACAACCTTGCCAGCATCTGTTGTTTCTTGCCTTTTTAATAATAGCCATTCTGACTGGTATGAGCTGGTATCTTTTTGTGGTTTTTATTTGCATTTCTGTAATGATTAGTGATGTTGAGCTTTTTTTTCATATGTTTGTTGGCCACGTGAATGTCTTCCTTTAGGAAATGCTTGTTCATGTCCTTTGCCCACTTTTTCATGTGGTTGATTGTTTTTTCTTGTAAATTAGTTTAAGTTCCTTGTAGATTCTGCATATTAGACCTTTGTCAGATGGGTAGATTGCAAAATTTTTCTCCCACTCTGTGGGTTGCCTGTTTGCTCTGATGATAGTTTCTGCTGTGCAGAAGCTCTTCAGTTTAATTAGATTCTATTTGTCAATTTTTGCCTTTGTTGCAGTTGCTTTTGCTGATTTCATCATGAAATCTTTGCCCATGCCTGTGTCCTGAATGGTATTGCCTAGATTTTCTTCTAGGGTTTTTATAGCTTTGGATTTTACAATATATCTCTAATTCATCTTGAATTAATTTTTGTATAAGGTGTAAGGAAGGGGTCCAGTTTTGGTTTTCTGCATATGGCTAGTCAGTTCTCCCAGAACCATTTATTACATAGGGAATCCTTTCCCCATTGCTGGTTTTTGTGAGGTTTGTTGAAGATCAGATGGTTGTAGAAATGCAGTCTTATTTCTGAGTTCTCTATTCTGTTCTATGGCTCTATCCTGTTTTTGTACAAGTACCATACTGTTTTGGATACTGTAGCATTGTAGTGTAGTTTGAAGTCTGGTAACATGATGCCTCCAGTTTTGTTATTTTTGCTTAGGATTGTCTTGGCTATACAAGCTCTTTTTTGGTTCCATATGAATTTTAAAATAGTTTCTTCTAATTTTGTGAAGAATGTCAATGGTAGTTTAATGGGAATATCATTAAATGTTTAAATTACATTGAACCCTGCGGCCATTTTCACAATATTGATTCTTCCTATCTTTGAGTATGGAATGTTTTTCTATTTGTTTGTGTCCTCTCTGATTTTCCTGAGCATTCGTTTGTAGTTCTCCTTGAAGAGGTGCTTCACTTCCCTTGTTAGATGAATTCCTAGGTGTTTTATTCTCTTTGTAGCAAGTGTGAATGGGAGTTCATTCATGATTTGGCTCTCTGCTTGCCTGTCGTTGGTGTATAGGAATGCTTGTGACTTTTGCACATTTATTTTGGATCCTGAGACTTTGCTGAAGTTGCTTATCAGCTTAAGAAGCTTTTGGGCTAAGTCGATGGGGTTTTCTAGATATAGGATCATGTCATCTGCAAACAAAGACAATTTTATTTCCTCTCTTCCTATTTGAATACTCTTTATTTCTTTCTCTTGCCTGATTTCTCTGGCCAGATATTCCAATATTATGCTGAATAGGAATAGTGAAAGAGGGCACCCTTGTCTAGTGCTGGCCTTCAAAGGGAATGCCTCCATCTTTTGCCCATTCAGTATGATATTTGCCATGAGTTTGTCATAAATGACTTTTATTATTTTAAGGTATCTAGTTTATTAAGAGTTTTTAAAATAAAGGACAGTTGAATTTTATCAAAGGATTTTTCTGTGTCTATTGAGATAATCATGTGGTTTTTGTCTTTAGGTCTGTGTATATGATGAATTACATTTATTGATTCGTGTATGTTGAACCAGCCTTGCATCCCAGGGATGAAACCAACTTGATCGTGGTGGATAAGCTTTTTGATGTGCTGCTTTTTGTTTGCCAGTATTTTGTTTGCCAGTATTTTATTTTGCATCTGACTAATTTTTGTTAACATAGATAGCTTATAGTACACAGGTATTTACTCAGATAACCTATCAGTTTGGTTAATATGGATGAGTTAGTCTTCTTCTCTGGGAGCACAGAAATTGTCTATTTCCATTCCATTAAGTATGAGAGTCTAATCCAAAAAATTGACCATTATGGTGTTACTCTCTTCAATTTTCACCTTACTTCTTTATATGTTTATTTTATATAAATCTAGGACAACTTTGCATTTCAAATTTAATTTTATTTCATTTAAAGGTGAGTCATTTTTAGAACAGAAGGAATCAGTCTGTTCTTTTCTCTAAAACAGCATTTCTGAAGTGTATTTAATAGAAGAGTAATCCCAAGGTAAAATACACTATGGAAACACTGCATGTGTTTTTTTTTTCCCTTGTGCATTGTTAACATAGTGAACATTTTTGATAAAACTGTAAACAATATATGATTAGTACATAATCGATAACTGAACCCATTACTTTCCAGCCTCCCTTCCTCTCCTATCAGTTGTTTTTTCTTTTGCAATTTATTTTTATAGATTTAGAGAATACAAGTACAGTTTTGATACATGGATATATTGCATAGTGGTATAGTCTGTACCAAGTGTAACAATTGCCCAAATAGTGTACATTGTATCGATTAAGTAATTTCTTATCCCTCACCCCACTCCTACCCTGTCAGGCTTGTGAGTCTCCACTGTCCATTATTTCACACTGTGTGTCCATGTGCATGCATTTTTTAGATTCCATGTGTGAGTATTTGACTTTCTATTTCTGAGTTACTTCACTTAAGATAATAGCTTTCAGTTGCATCCAAGTTGCTGAAAAATACATGATTTTTTTTATGGCTGAGTAGTATTCCATGGTATATACCACATATTCTTTTTCCAATCATTTGTTGATGGACACAAGTCGATTTCATGTATTTGCTGCTGTGAATAGGGTTGATAAACATTAGTGCAGGTATCCTTTTGATATAATGATTTTTTTCCTTTGCATTTCATTGTAAAGAGACCTATTCACATTATGCAGCATCCGTTGGAACATGTGGCTGTAAATACTGCCAGAGTGGACTGGAAAAGACATAGGCATTGCTTTCTACCTGGATGTTTATGGTCTATAAGTCATTAAACTACTTGGCTAAATTAAAACATTTCTTTATCCTTTCTAGCATCCTACACAAATCCAAAATATGTCTATGTGCATTGTAGTTATGCCAAGAGATGAGTTCAGAGTCTTTGGGATGACCACTCCCAACTCTCTGAAATTTACGTAAGTGCGAATATACTGTGTTTAATAACAATAAAAGCACTTTTCCTAAAGCCTTTAATTTTGAAAATGAAATACAGTATGAAATAAAACACACTAAAACACAAAAGCAAAATTACTGATTTAAAAATATTGATGCAAATATTTCTTCTAGAAGATAAGAAAGATAAAAACACCCATTACCAGAAAAAGTGTGAACTTCCAGCAAGTATGCCACTCAAAATAGTAAATAAAAGCTAGAGATCTGACAGAAGAAATGTTGAATCAAAAATCTAATAATATAACTTGATAGGTTTATGTCCATCAGACAGCTACTTGGCGTCTCCAAATTTCAACTGAAAAATAAATATACAGATAAAGATCAATGCATTAATTTGTATTTTAGATTACATCCTCTTAAATGCTTGAAAGGATTTCCTATACATTTGCTGTTTGCTATTGGAGGCTTGAGTAAATTGGTATGAGAGGTAATAATTTACTAATAAAAATGATTGTGCCACATCTTACATTAAAGATAATTCCTAAGAACATGAGAAATATTAATAGGTACATAAGCAGTATCTTTTCAGAAGTAAGGCGACTTAAACCTAGTGTGGTTTCTGAGGCATTTATTAAAATTAGAAAGTTATAAAGGGAATTACAAAAAAGCTGGCTAGTTATTTCATTTTCCTACTCTACCTAAAAAATATGAGGGTCAGTTTGGGCCTAAAGCAGTTTGTAATTCCTGACTTTAAAATAGAAATAAGAAGTTATGGGTTCACATAATTAATGTGTTCTCTCGACTCAAAAGAATATGAAGATGCTTGAGACACATCCATCTGAACTGTCTTTTACCAGAAAGCATAAGGTCCTGCAAAATAGAATGAAAAAAAAGAAAATATAATCACAAAGAATACTATATTAGCAAAATTTATAACTGTAAAAATTGTGGAATGACAGATAAGAAAGTGAGAAAAAAGTGAAATATAATCATTATAAATGTGTTGCAGTATTTCCATTTTTAAGCCCTTTAAAGCCACGGTAATATAGCCAAAGAGAATAAAAACTACATATTGATAAGTGAGGTGTGTGAGAAAGGAACAAGGATTATAGTAAACGATTAGGCCATCCTTGGGATGAAACAATGAAGCATAAGTTAGATCCAAGTTCTGGTGGATTAAAAAATCAAGGCACTGACTTTAGAAAGAAAGGAAAAAAAAAAAAAAACCACTACCCTTCTGAATGGGACAAATATGATGGCTTATAGTTTTAATCCTTCCCATTGAGAAGGCAGTTTTTTAGTAAGTTTATCCTCGACTCAGCCATATTCAACATTTTACCATTAGAAACATACGAAGCACACTTATACACTTATACGTTTTTACATTATTTTATTTAATAAGGGAAAATACACTGGTATTTATTAGTACTAATCATTATTAATCAGGGATAATAGTCAAAATATAACAAATTATACTTCACAAAGAGAAATCAAATTTTTACTACTTAGAGAGGGAGACAAGCCAGTTGCACAATTACATCAGCTATTTGGAAAGAATGCATCAAACTTTAACTAATCAAAGGTTGTATAATATGTGAAATGTAACCACTAAATAAGTTATTTTTATCTAAATTAGCAGTTATATCGAGAGTGGGAGAATTCTGCCTTCTTAAGATGCTCTAAATCTTATTTAAGAAATTAAGTTTTGGCAGTTCATCTTTGAGTCGAATGTAAGAAATTCAGGTACATTTAACCAAAAACAAAGGTGGTTATGCCATTTAAATGTTTACTGTATTAATAAAAATATACCAAAAATAAGATTTGGGGAAGAAAAACCATTACAGAAATATTCAAATATTGAAGGATGGCAAACAAAATGATTACACTTGTTTTCTTTATTAATAAGGATAAGAAACAGAAACAGTAAATGGAAGATATGGAAACAAATTTCAACTCAACATCAAAAATACATATCTGACACAATTGTATATATACGAAATTTGTTTACTCAGAGATACATTCAAATGTAGTTTGGAAAACCATTCTGCAGTTAAATAGAGAAGACAGAAGGGTTGTAGGATCAGATAATCATTATTTTCTCTTCTAGTCTTAAAATTCTATGATTCTGTGCTAACCTGATAAAGTAAACCAGAGGTTCTTGAGAGATTTATTTTAGAATCTTAATGGAAAAGCTAAATTATGGGAAAAGATAACATAAAATGACTTTACTAAAAACAGTAATCTGTGTCTGTGTGTAAGAATATTGACAATGAATTAATAGAATTTCTGAGAAAAATTGTCATACTAAATTCAAACTTTTAACAAGTTTGAAAGAATATATGAAGAATAAAATTTTCACTAGACTATATGAATATTAATATCTCAGCAGGTATGGGGTTATTAAAATCACAACTCATTATATCCAAGCAGACACTGAATTTCCTTGGTGTTCTTTTTTTTTTTTAATTCTAAGAAGCTGATTATCTCTGAGGTCCTGCCATTTTCAGTGTTTTACGTGATCTGTTGTTGATCTAGAGTATATGATTTAAAATAGTTCATTAAGAAAAGCTCTTTTCTAAGTAACAGTATTGAAGACTTGCTTGTCCACTACATGTTACTGATGACCCAGCAAAACAGCCAATTGAACATTTTGGTTTTTCACTTTTCAAGCAAATATTTGACATCATATTGGTAAAGTTTTAATCCCTTTAAATTAGTTTTCTTATCTCTAAGATTGCTGTTACCTATATGCCTTTTGGAAAGTTTCTAAGTAATAACAAAAAAAATCTCGTATTGAACTCTTTTGGAACAGGGAAGCATATAGAAGATAACATTAATGCCTTTTTGTTACTAATCCTCATACTTCTGTGAAGAGTATATTCTTTATATGCAAGTGAAAGAGGATTATACAGCCAAGAAAGTGAGCCAGAGTGTTTCAATATAGATTATGAAACCATAGAAAGGGTTTTTTTCTGATTAGGTTTACTATGTGCTGAGAGTTGTTTGTGCTAGAAGTAATCTCACAACATATTTCTGAATTCTTTTTTAGGACTTTTATCAGTTAGTTCCCCTCATAAGCCTGTGAAACCATGAATTATGTAACCTTATCAACACCATGCAATAAGCTAATCCAAAACAATATTTGTACCATTATTGACCAAATGAGATACAAATAATATTATCTTTATGTGATTATTTTAACTTTTATGTATATATTATGAATATTGGCTAAAATGTTACAGGCATCCACATATCCTCTTTAGTGGAATTTTAATATAAATATTTGCAATTATCTTTTGAAGAAAATGTTTCAGTATGTATTTATATTTCTCTATGTTTATTTAGCATAAGTAAGGTGTATAATATTTCTAGAATTTTTAATGCAGTATAAAATGTGGTATTTACCATCAAGGTGCTTTATTAAGAGAGAAATTTGAGCTCTGAAATTTTTAAAATAAGGAGCTGATTATGTTCACAGTTCCTGACCTGCACATAGTTAAGTCTTCAGGTTAAACATCATGCATTAAGCAGTTATTCAATTTCTAAAGATATCAATTTTCTTTAAGTAAATTTATGTAAAAAGAAATAATAACAGAATATTATTTTAACAAGTAATAAACTTTAAAAACTTTCAATTATTCTATTGTTTCATGTAACATTAGTAAATAATACTGGGAGGTGTCTCACTCAAATTCAAAATAAGAAAATTATTTTAAGAGAATATAAGTGGTTCCCAAAATTCACATAGGTAATAAATACCAAACTCAGTATATTTTTTCAAATACTGCCTTTGTCTAAGTCTATGTTGTTTTTTTTATTGATTGTAGTTATAGCACCTGTACACTCTTGGAACCAAACACATAGAGGAACCAGACAATTAAATGTTGGTAGGTAATTGCAAATCATAACTACTAGTATACATTAGCCAGTAGTCATGGCTAATGGCAATGGTTGCTGCCGTATTTCTTCAAATAATGTTTTTCCTCTTCTACTTCTTAGTAAATTATTTTATCCATTACTATTATTATTTTTTACTTTTTGGGGTTCAAAAGTCTTCCTTGATTTCCTTAAGTTCCATAAGAAAAAATAATTGCCAGGTCTTGTTCATCATGCATGCACTGCATTCCTTTGATATGAGGTCCTACAATAAATATTACATAGAATATAAAGATAATTGTAAACATTTAGTTAAAAATACATATTTAAATTATTAGAATTTTCTTCAACATTTCCAAAACAGATTATGTAACCTTATCAATATAATCCTCTAGCTGTAAACGATGGATTATATTTTATGTTGCTAACTCTTGCTATCTGAATTCTTTTGTAATACAGTTTTTAAAAGTTATATTAACAATATCTTCCTGTATATTTTATCATAATTCAGGATCTCTATTTAGAAAACCAAACTTTTTGCTTCAACACACCCGGCATGCCACTGTCAGACTAATTGTTAATTACCACACACCAAGAGTATACACAGTATCATGGTTTTCTTTGGAGTAAGTACACATCTCTTAACCAATCGTTCAATGCCCATTACAATCTGTTCTTCACAATGTGCATTCCAATGGGAGAAAGAATACCATATTATATTGAATATCTACCATTTCAAAGTATTATCTCAACAACTTTATTTGTTTAAATTAACTTAACATTCTCAATGCCACAGTGAGGTACACTGAATAATTTTGTTCTACATATTAGAAAATGAATTGAGGCTCTTTTTTCCTGATCCTTCTCTCAATAGAGCCATGGCTTTTCTCTTTCCACAGCTTTGCTTGTGGCCAGGTTGCTTTATAATTCTTCTAAATATTCAAATCCTGTCTCTACTTCAAAGTTCAGCTTATATCCCATTGACTCTATAAGAAGTTAATAATTCAAAAAAGGAACAAATTTATTATCTGAAATGTGTTGCCTTTAGGATCAAAACTGTGTAAAATGTAGGTAAGGTCATGGCATGGAAATTGTCTACTTTTTCATTATTAAATTCTCAAACCTAGCACATGCCTACTATAAGAAGGATGGGTAATGCATATGTATTGGTGAATGAATTATAGTTTTATATCATTCCAGAGTTTTTATGCATTAATAATCTTTTCAAAATATGTACCATATTTTTAGTACTATCTACATATCAAAGTTGATCTCTGGCAAATCCTACTAAAGACATAGGTTTTTAAAAATTTTTGTTTCTGTTTTTGTTTTGTTTTGATTTTCCTGGAAATGAACAATGCTTACTGGTTCAGAACTTGGAGGACCCTTTAAAGCTGGACAGATAACATTCCTTTACCTATTCCAGAATAAAGAATACCACCAGTTTATTGGTGAGAACTGTAATTTTATAGCAGAATCTCTTAATTATTGAGTATGTGTACAATAAAAATGTATCTCAGAGATAAATATGCTTAGGTCTATGCACAAGTGCATATAAAGTTTAGCTATTCCCTACGAATTTTGAATGCAAGTTCATAAGAACTTGGTTTAAATACCATTTTATGTTGAAATACCCATTTTAAATAGACATATAAACAGGCTGGACCTTAATAAACATATATATATATATATATATATACACACACATATATATACACATATGTATATATTCCCCTGCCAAATTCTGTACAAAATAGGTTTATTTTGGTTTAACTATATGTTAAATTTATTCCTATTTTCCATCCTTTCAAGTGTTCTTACTAGTTTAATCTTTCTTATGCAACTTAGAAATTTATGTTTATTTCCAAACACCAGGAGAGTCTACAATTTTCTAGAAATACGGATTTTAGGAAACTCAGAGAATTGTGTTGAATCAGTAGAGCAGAGTGGTGAAGACCATGAGCGTATTAGTCTGTTCTTGCACTGCTCTAAAGAAAACACCTGAAAACTGAGTAATTTATAAAGAAAGTAAATGTAATTGGCTCACAGTTCTACAGGCTGTGCAAGAAGCATGGCTGAGGAGCCCTCAGGAAACTTTCAATCATGGCAGAAAGGGAAGCAGGCATATCTTACATGGCAAGAGCAGGAGGAAGAGAGGGAAGGGGGAGGTGTTACTCAATTTTAAACAATCAGATCTCATGAGAACTCACTCAATATCATGAGAACAGCAAAGGGAAAATCTGTCCCCATGATCTAATCACTTCCCAACAGGTTCTTCCTCCAACACTGGAGATAATAGTTTGACATGAGATTTGGGTGAGGACACAAATCCAAATATTATCAATGAATGTTGAGTTCAAGTATTTGAATTCAGATTTGAGGTGTGATTTCACAATATAGCCGTGAACAAATTAATCATTCTGAATATCAATCTCAGTACAACTATTTAAAAATGTATTTTGTTAAATAAAAAAGCTGAATAGAGAACCAAAAAGCCTGTTATAAAGATTAAAAGATATAATTAATTTAAACCAGTGGCTAAAATCAATTAATGTTCATTACTATTAGGTTCTATGTATTATTTGCCATAATACCTTGTAGAAGAAAATATTTAATATGAAAAAATTTGAGGCTATTCAATTATTTTCAATTCTAATTGTTGCTATTCCTTTAGAATATTGCATTACCATTGTTGAAGTCAAAATACCTCTCCATCATTTAATTTCTAATTGCAAGTTCTTTTGAGCATTACTATTATATTGGCATTCAAAATATATTTGAAGTTTAGATTTCTTAAATATGAGCTTAACATATATTTCACTTTCTTTCTAGTTTTTCAGGAAAACATATTAACTGATAGAAAAAAATAGTGGTGAAATAAGATCCTTTATCCTGAAATGTAATTTACTGAAACATTTTAAATATAAAAGTTTCATAAAATCATATTCAAAACTAAGAAAGGCATGTAAGCATGTAAAAATCTGTGCAAAATATTCAATTTTGTGAGATTTAATGTTCTCAAAAATTTCAAATGCACAGATGGTCAAAGTACACATGATCTTTGGGAAGTCTTGCTCCCTAATGCCTCTGGGCGTGCTGTACTTTGTTTGTCAAAATGGTGTCAAGTCTGTTAGAACAGCTTGGCCAGTTTTGCCAGAATTCCTTCCTAAATTAAAGATAGAAAGAAGAAGCTTGTAATTTAATGTGGAAAATGTGAGTTTTAGTGTGAGCTCCCAATAAGCAAGTTATTTCTCACAGCATATTTTACACTTATTTTTTAATTAAAAGTATAAAATTATTTTCAGTGTTTTCTTGAACACCCCAACAAATAATTTTATTTAACTTTTCAAAAAATCATATTACATTAACATAGTAAAAACAATGTGACTAAATTTAATATTTCACTAGATATAAATTAGACATGAAGTAGATTTGAATTCTGCTTCTGCCACTTACCTGCATGACTGTGTAATCTTTGAAAAATGTTTCCACATAAACTCACAATAAGATTTTGGTCATTATTTCATTACACAACTGCAAAATATTTATCAGAGTGAATAGCAAATGTTTAACAATTTGGGCCTAGGTATCTTCAAGCTATTGTTTCCGTAGCTATCTTATGAACAGGCTGAAATCTTGACCAAGAATCCCATTTACCATATTTGGTTCATAGAGAATTGAGGATCACCAGGGAATTGCACTGAAAAAAATTACTGTTAAATTAAACAGACACTTAACAAGTACCTACTGCAAACAAAAAAACAATGTTAGACATTATGTGCATCGATCATTTTATAGATGGGAAGCCATATGCTAAAAGAACAAATATCATATCAAATTTTTATACTTCTGAAAAATAACCCAACATTTAAACTTAGCCCTGTCTGCGTCTGAAGCCCTTCCTCACGCCCTTGAGAATGGTGGCTTCTGATATTTCATCTTAAAGTTTATATTCTATGTGAGAAGGGATATATTACAAACAACAATAACAGATTGCAGTAGTATTTTTAGACTATTAGAACCTGATGAGAGAGGAAGAAAGAGAAGAGTGAGAAGCAGGGCACAGATAGTTGGGAATGGTGGGTTGGGATAGGGCCTTACTCATTAACACAAGCTCCTGAACGGTCTCTTATTATCATAGTAAAGAAAACCCAGGAGTGGGAATCAAGACACCTGCCAAGCAAAACCAGTGCCACACACAGAACTTCAGTCAACTCAAAATACATGTTACCATGGAGAGGAGAGAAGAACAAAGAGAAACAAGAAAAGTGGAGTGTCAACAGGAATTAGAAAGAAGATGGCATTGACATTGATGGAACTCCAGTTCTAACCTTCACCTTTTTCACATTTTTACCCCTAAGGCTGGCCTTGCTTAAAATAGCACTTATGACATTGCTTAATATAAGAAAAAAAAAAGAATGAATTTTTCAGACAGACATTTTTTGGTTAACCTAATCTGGAAGACTGACACATGATTTTGTATTTTCCTATAAACGTTATGTGGATTTGAAGATATTTGTTTTCTTTTCCCAGTGGTTTCACTAACAATTTTATTCAAACATCTCATATTAGATTGTAGATAACATAAAGGAATACCAAAATTTATCAGAAAAAGAAACTTTATATCATTTTTTCAATAAAAAGGAGATTGAAATGGGATTAAACTGAATTGAAAGATAATATACATGAGAAAGGAAATAAGTAAAAGAAAGACCAAGTACATATTAAAACTTTTAACCAGATAACCCTATCATTAAAGAATATGCTTGTCTAAATTATTGCATGCGTGTGTTCTCCAGCAAAGATTATGTGATTGAAGTTTTTTATAACTGTGGGAAACTTTCTAATGTAAAACCTACTGTCTTTGTCAATGGAATGAGACTCGTAAGGAACATGTGGATACTTTTTCAAATTATTACGTGTGAGGTGTGTCCTAAAGGATCCATTCTCCCTCATAGTGCCAAAAAGAACACAGAAGAACTAATGTAGTAATGAATGGAGCAAAAACAATGTTACTGTGCAATCAAGAGCAGTTATGAATTTGCTTCAGCTGGATGCAGTTGCCAGAAAGCCCTATTTATGCAGGCCATTTAAGGAGAGAAACAGATCACTCAGCCTGAGGGAGCATAGGAGAGAAACAACATTTCTTAACCAAGATGTGTTCTTGAGGACAATACAATGTCACTTTTACAAGATGATATTCTGAAAGAAAAAAGAAAGGAAAATTTTAACAAATTTCTTTGAGCTTTTCTCCAAATATTTTAAATGAAAGAGAAGCAATGAAACTTTTTACCTTTCCAACTTATTTCTCTTACTCCACGGGAGTAAAAACTTGGAAATATGTATTGTTGCTACATAAGGTCTCATTCTTATACTTACATGCCAGAATTTATATATGTCTTTGGTCTGCTAAGGACGGCATAATTAAAATATACATTGCCACTTGCTGACATTTGAATGTCTATTTAAAACTCACAGCAATACTGGTTCTGAATTGTCTAGACAGGTATCATTCCTAATCAAGGAATTATACTACTCATCATCTGCTTTATTTTTCTCTAATTTGAATATAGGGAAACATTTTTAATGCCATATACTGTTTCCCTGTAAAGTTGTATGTTTTGTACAACGTGTTGGAAAAGTACTGCACTTTTACAGTAATTGAATAATGAATCATACCTAAATCTGCATCTAAATCATGCCAATTTTACAGCCTCTCATTCTGTTTCTTTTATTTTGTTTTGAAGTATTCACAGAAATTTTAGGCAAAATTCTCAGAGATGTTACAATATTCTTCTCCACCAGTACTGTTTTTATTTTCATCCATGTTGATTCACTCTAGATGTTGTGCCACCAAAGATTCTCCCCTTCATCTAAGTGAGCTAATGGTGGTATTTCCAGAAAAAAAAAAGGAAAAATGAATGAACTTTACAAAATAATCTCTAGAGAAATTTGTGTTTTGTTATGCATTACTAAACATGCTTAATTATTCTGTATTAGCTTTCATAAAACTAATAGGCATGAACATTCTGTTGCAATAAAATCTGTGAGACAAAACCTGCCAATATGCATTAAGGGAATTTGATTACAAAAATAGTCAGGACTAGTTCATTAACATTAGAAAAATGCCAAGGTCAATGAAAATCAACTGAATATCAATGTATATTTTAAAGTCTTTAATAAAACATGGGGCTGTTCAGCAGAAATAGCAATAAATTTCTAATAATTTAAAATTACCATTGGGTTATATTTATTTATTTATTTATTCATTATTTTTGAGATACCTTTGTCAACCAGGCTTGAATGTGATAGTGTGATCATGGCTGAAGAGATCCTCCCACGTCAGCCTCCCAAGTAGCTGGGACTACAGGTATGTGCCACCACACCCAGATAATATTTTTACTTTGTATTTTTCTGTAGAGATGGAGGTCTTACTGTGTTGCCCAGGTTGATCTCAAACTTCTTGGCTCAAGCAATCCTTCCAACTTGACCTCTCAATATGCTAGGATTACAGGCATAAGCCACCGCATTCTGTTAGATCATTTTTAGAGTTTGATTTAAAAAACCCAAATACATTTCTACATTAACAGAAGTGTGTGTATTTTAGCTATAGAACCAGGGTCAATATGTTTTTAATAAGATGTAATTTCTAAATTTTTATATATGGGTCAAAACATAAATGATGTTGACTTTTCACATAAAGGGCTAGACACATACTGTAACTAATTAAAATTCAATCAATTGTTTGTTTTAGGGCAGATGGTTTACTATGCGATGAGCAGGAACATATTAAAAACTTAGTCCAGGTAAGATAATTAATCTCCTAGTAGAGTGAGTTTTTTTAAGATGTGAGACAAGTAAAATAATTCATTAATTGAAATTTAATTTAAATAGACAAACATTAAAAATCACTCTGATGACTAACAAAAAGTCAAGATACTTCTGGGTATATATTACAAAAAAATTAAACCACTATGTTGAATAGATATTAGCACTCCCATGTTCATTGCAGTATTATTCACAATAGCCAACATACAAAAACGTGTCTTACAACAGATGAATTGATAAAGTAAATGTGATATAGTTCTAGCTCAAGCTCTATCTCTATCTATCTATCTATCTATCTATCTATCTATCTATCTATCTATCATCATCATCTACCTATCTTTCTGCTTACACAAAGGAATATTATTCAGCTCTTAAAAAGGAAATCCTGCCATTCATGAAAACATGAACACATTTGGAGGAGATTGTGCTAAGTAAAATAGGCCAAACATAAAAAACAAGTAGTGCATGATTTCACTTACATGTAGAATCTAAAAGAAAAAAAGTCAAACTTATTATTACAAACAGTAAAATGGTGGTGATCAGGGGCTTGAGTGGTGGAAGAGATGTTGGTCAAAGGGTACACACTTTTAATTGTAGAAAGAATAAATTTTGAAAACTTAATGTACAACATGGTGGCTATGGTTAATGATGTAATGTATAGTTGAAATTTGCTAAGAGAATAGGTGTCGTCTTCTTACCACACACACGCAAATGATAACTATGTAAGGTAATTAATATGCTAAATTAGCTTGGTTGTGTCAATCATTTCACAATGCTTACATATATTAAAACATCACATTGTACATCTTAAATTTATACAATTTTAATTTGTTAATTATGCCACGATAAAGCTAAAAAAATAGTAATTTTAAGAACTTTTAAAATTCTACAAGGACAAAATAATCTGAGAAAATATGATTTCAAAAAAGGAGGAAATGGAGAAAATGATGTAAAGTATATGAACATAAGAAAGAATTAATGAATCTTGGAGGATACATTAATCAAAAATGCAGTCTAAAGAAAGAGAGACGTATATTGATGTCCTGTAAGACCTGAATTTAATTTCTACAATATTCTCCCTGATAATCAATCCCTTCGGCTTAATGCTTCCTTCTGGACCATTTTACCAATAATTTCTCTGTGACTTTTTTTTTTAGGGGATTCTTATCAAAAGGTAAGAAGCAGAAAAGTTCTGTTGGTAAAATCATACCTAGGGCCAGAAAAGGTGAGGCTTGCGGAATTGAGAGGGTGAACACAGAACACAGCAAAGAAGAGGAGGACAAACAGTTGCATGATCCTCCTAGTCAGCTTCCCATTTCAGAGTGAAAATATCACAAGGGAACAAGACATTCTATAATTGGATATAGTGAGGAAACTTTTCGAAGTACCTGTATTACCTGAAGCTACATTTCTATTATTTTATTCAAGATTGAGAGGTTCATTCAAGTCATGTAGGAAAAGTGTTGAATAGTTGGTCACAAGAGGGAAAGGGGGAAAATCAGCGTGACTGAAACAGGCTGTGGCTGATCACACTACTGCTGTAGATGTTATGGGGATTATGTGTACTCCGTTACAGGTAATGGAATTTTGCTATATTTAAAAATCTAACATAAGGGAATGCTTTAAAACTTGTCTTTGAGCAGGGCTTTATTTCCAAGCTGCATGCTAAAAGGACTCTATTGCCAAGGCAGAACAGAATATAAGATTCTCAAGTCATAAGTCACATTTGTATTTGCCATTTTTTTCAACAAAGCTATGAAAAACACTCTTTGAAAACCTCCATTGCATTAACTCAGCAAGGAATTAATAAATTTTTGAACATACAGAAAATTCCATGGATTGAAATGCTTTTCTGCAGCTGGTGTACAATCTGATAAATATAAATATTACAAAGCCAAAATAATTATCGCGGTTTCTCTCAGGATGTGAGATGTCAAGTTTCTAAAGAAATACTTTTTTTTTTTTTGTTCTAATTCCACTCAGTTGGTCAAAGTGAGATAAAAATGAATGCAATATTTTTTTTACATTTAATTTTGATACGCTTTTTCTTTTATCTCTATTTTTTTTCCCTTTGTCTGTTTCTTTGTCCTTATAAGAGGTCTTTGGTCAAGCAACACATTTTTAGCGTTAGTATTTTCACAAAGGGGTTCTCTCATTGCTCAGCCTCCATTAGGAACCTGCCCTATTTATTTGGAGTCAATAATGCAACTCCATGTGTTCTAAACACTAGAATATTACCTTTTTGCACTAATTAATTGAATATGGTAATGAGGGCATGACTACAAAGTCAAAGTAGGAGAAAATGAGAAATAAGGCAATGTATTTACCAGTGCAGAAACAGTGAAAGCAGGCTTTACTATCCCTAAAACAATACTGTTTAACAGTTATATTTTAAACATAAGTTTTAAGTTCAAATTTGAATAGATGTATCATGAGAAGAGTCCATTTTATTTTAGTTTTTATTAAATAATAAAATTAGTGGTATTGCTTTAAACAGGATATTAAGCTAAATTATGTCTATTTATTAATTTTTCTTCCAAATTACTGTTAAAAATGCTGTACTGTTTTCTGCCTTATATTTTATAAGGTTTAACTTTGTTTTATGAACCTATACTACTGCATACTTTATATCCAAATCTTTATAGTATGATCTACAGCAGAGAAAATTTCTTGGTTACCTCCACTAAGACTTAAGACCAAAAATAAAGTTCCAACTCATAGCACTAACCAAGTGTTATAATAACTGTGCAATGCTTTTAGCAGATAGATGTAATTTATCAGAGAAAATTGCTAATATTCAATAGTCAATCACAAATGATGCATTTTCTTTTTATCTTTCACAAAACAGGTATTGTCTGCTTAATTAAAAAGGTCCTTGTTTATGCTATTCAATCTACTAAAATGAAACCATTGGCTTTTTAACCAAAAATAAATAAATTTTAAAAATTTAATTGTTTTTAATTTGATGCTTCATAATTTCCCTTACGTTTTAGGATGCTTTTCATGCAATTTCAAAGTAGGCCCCTTAAATAGATAACCTATATCAAGAAAATGTACATTATCTGTTCCTTTGCACAAAGTAGATCTAAAAAGAGAGGGAGAGTATAATTTAATGGAGTTAGAGTTTACTATCAGTGCAGCTAAAAAATTGATACAGTTTTCAAAGATGTGGTCATGGAAGGTAGCTACCCTCTTCCACAAAATGTCACTTAGATTGTTATTGAAGAGTGAATGATCCTTCAGTTAGGTAAATGCACTGATGAATTACATCACAGTCACTAGTCATATTATATTTGATATGGTGTTAATGTAATTGGTTGACATTTGCTGTCAATTTGTACAGTTTGTGTGTTTTTAAAATCATATAAGTAAATATTCTTTCACCAGGAGTAGCAGGTCATAATATTAGAAGGAAAAAAAAGTAAAGAAATTTAGATTTAAATTTAGACTTAATTTCCTGATAATGCTCAATTAGACAAAAAATGGGAGAAATGGTTAAATCTAGAAATATTCTTGCAAGTAAGATTATATTATTTGGTGTTTTCATCAGAAATGTCTATTATATAATGATGAGTCTATCTGTCTGTCTCTATCTATCATCTTTACAATATCACACAATTGATTTCATTGTCTACTTCCCTAATTACAGATATTGTTGAAGATAATTATTTGTGTAATTTAAGTATCTATAAGGACCTTGATTGATATGATTCATTTTCTCTATTTTCTTCTTTATTATTCCTTCAACCATTGGACACCTCAGGTTACTTTCCCTTTTCAGATCAATCTGTGAATGTTTTTAGTCTCACTATTGAGATTTAAAATACACATGGCAATCATTGTGAAAAACCTTTCTGTTTTGATAACTGATATATAAAAAGATCAAAAGTAGCTGTTTGTTCTACCCTAAACATAATCCTTGCTATTAAGAAGGAATAATCTAAGAAAGTTTTCTTTCTATATTTTTCTACTTAGTCAAATACATGTAAACTGACTTTCCAGAGGGGATTCATAAAACATTAATATTTTAAAGCAAGCTTAGCCCCAGTGCATTAACTTGAGGCCTCTCCATCTAAAGCAGTGATTCATAAAATGTAATTTACATCTGATCATCTGGGAGTGCTTGTTAAACATGCAGATTCTTGGATCCACCTCAACATCCATTGAAGCAGAATTTCTGGGGGGAAATTTTATATGGATAAATACGGATCATGTTCTGGCAAAGATTTAGGTAGCTGAATGAAACTAGCTAGCCTCTTAAAAACTGCAGATTTAAATTCCTTCTGTGTTCTTGAAATTCATCTTAAAATTCACGGAGTGCAACAAAATTAGCCAGTTTTCTTTCCTATAAAAAGGGAACTAACATTTGTCAAAAAGCTTGAAATTGGAAGACCGAGATTCAAATGCAGATCTGTCTGGCTCCCAAATCTGTGCACTTTCTGCAACAATATGGACATCGGTTCTAGTTTAAGAGTTTCCTGTATGAATATATGAATTACTTTAGTATCTTTTGTTGCATAATCATATAGAGAAATAAGCAAAAATCTGGAGTTACATTTTGCCTATATTTAGGTTATAACGTAACTCTCAAACTAGCATTGGTTTACCACGTTAAAAATAATGCAAATAAAAATATTTTTATATCTTCCAAAACTCCTATAACTGACTTTTATAATTCATTTGTCTGTGCATTTTCTTTTCCTTTAATTAATTCATTTCCATTTCTGAATGTTTTACTTTTTAAAACCTTTTTTGTGCTTTATGTCCTGTATTAATTTCACAAGTTTTTGTTCTCAATTTTTAATCTCTTATCCCTATATTATGCTTCAAAAAATAAATATAAACAAATAAATGTAAGTAAAAATATTGCAAAGTGCCTTTAATCATTGTATGTTGAAATACTTTCATATTTCAGAAGAGTTGCAAAAAGAATATGAAAATATCCCATATGCCCTTTGTCTGATTTTTACAAATGTTAACATTTTATTACTTCATTTGTTTTAATATCTTCCCTCTTTCTCTTCATATATGCTCTAGAATGAGAAAGTTATGCATCGCCTTACATAGTCACAGTGCAATTATCAAAATCAGAAATTTAATATTAATAGAATATAATTAATCTATAGACATTCCAGTTTCATCAGTTGTCTCCCTGATGTCCCACTACAAGCAAACTTATTTACTAGGACTCAATCATGGGTCACAGGTGAATTAGTTACTATGCCTTTTAAGTTTCTCTAATTTGGAAAAATGTCTTGCTTTTTCTTTTAGAAATAGGATGGGCTTCCTTCAGTGCTTTAGCCCAGTGTGTCATGTACCCTGGGGTTTAAAACCTATGGCAGGATGCTTTCCTAGGTTCCTTAGCTGCAGTGCAAATCGGTTGCATACAGTCACACCAGCAAACCTTTGGGAAAATGCTCTCAATGAATCCTGGTCTTTTGTTCTCCTTTGCTGCTTATCTGTTAAATAATAAGTCCACCGTATGTAACTTATGTGTGCAGGTGTTCCGTCTTGCCCGAGTAAAAGGAGTTGGTAATCAGTGTGAAATAAACCTGCAACACAGTATCTGCTGGGTTTCTCAATGGATACTTTTCTATTTTTTTTCCCTTTAAGTATATTGTGGGGAGATACTTTTTGGTAATTTATTCTCATTTTATCATTCTTTTGAACATGATGCATAGATGATTAATACCTTAAACAACATTAAACCATTCCCTAGTGATAGTGCCTGTAAGAAATATTGTGTTGTCAAATGATGATTTAGTGACTCCATCATTTATTTTATATTTATTACTTGGAAATTACCTATAAACTAAAGACTTCCCTTTTCTCATATATATATGTTGATCTTCTATCTGTAGCTATCACATATCTTCTATCTATTTACTATTTTTATTTATATCAGTATTATTGCATAAATTCTTATTTTTAGTGGTTTATAAAATATTTTAAATCATATATTGATGCTGTAGGAAAATCTATTGAATTTTTTCTCCCTTACATTTAGGATTTACATTTGCCTATTACATTTAGGGATTTAAAGAAAATATTTAGGCACCTGATGCCATTTCGAAAGTATTCTTCTATATGGTGTGATACATGGTTTTAATAATTATTTTGGTTTTGTCCAAAAATTTGTCCTGTTGTCCTAGCACCATTCTTTTTTAAATCTTACCTCCAGTGAATACAGATTCCACATTTAAGATGTATTATGTAATATAGAAGAATAAAATTTGATACATATTCATGAGATCTGACTTATTTGTATTACTTATGTCTTCTGTGTCTTACTGAGAGTGCTTGAATTTCCTTTTGCTTCTCAGAGGTGAGTACTCTGCTATTTGGTGCAAGGATGTTTATCTAAATTGTGAATTGTCACTCTTAGCCTTAAAAAAAAATTAGTTAAAGAGAAGGAATAAGTTTAAGATATCCATTGTACAACATTGTAACTATAGTTAATAAATATGTATACTTGAATATCACTGAGAGAACAGATTTTAAGCATTCATACCACACATAGATAAAAACGACAGGTATGTGAGGTAATGCGTATGTTAATTAGTTTAATGTCGCCAAAGTACAATATATACATATTTCAAAACATGATGTCACATACCATAAATATCTACATTTTATTTGCAAATTAAGTAAAACAAATATTTAGAAAAAACTGTTCTTTGTCATAAGTTACATTTTCATTTGAACTCCATTTTATCTCAGCTCACTACAACTCCTCCCCCAGGTTCAAGCTATTCTCCTGCTTCAGCCTCTCAAGTAGCTGGGATTACAGGCTCCTGCCACTACATCCAGCTAATTTTTTGTTTGTTTGTTTTGTATTTTTAGTGGAGATGGGGATTCACCATGTTGGCCAGGTTGGTCTTGAACTCCTGACCTCATGATTCTCCCCCCTCAGCTTCCCAAAGTGCTGGGATTGCAGGTGTGAGTCTCTGCGCCTGACCTCAGCTTCCTTTTAATTGCTTTGATCTACAGTTATGTCTCGTACAAAGCAGATAGTTGAATCTTGCTTTGTGAACAAAATTGAAAATACTTTTCTTGTTAAGCGGCTTGCATGTTAATCGATGCCTCTGATAGAATTGGTCTCAGTTTTGTCTTATTCTTTATCATCGTAGATGGTACACTATATTTTCCATGTTTCCTTGTCCCCGTGATGTATTTTCATTGTTCTTCATTTTACCTTTTAAGAAATACTTGTATTTTGTTCTACTATTTACCGTTTTGTTCTACTATTTACTTGTATTTTGTTCTACTATTTACCGTTGTACTCAGACATGTTTTTACCATGCTTTTCTTATTATGCCTCTTACTATCGGGTTTGCTAATTTTCTGTAGTATTGTTGGAATTATTTGACTACTGTATTTTATCTATTCAACAGTCAAAAAACTAATTCTACTTTTATATTTCCTTATCATCTTTCCTGTCTATGTCCATTATTTATAGTTGGTCAAAATATGCAACATTTGCACACGATTCTTACTCTTTTGTCCCAAATTTGTTTCAGTCTTAGGTCAAATACTAAAAACATTAAATACTCCCCATCAATCCTTTGCTTGTATTTTCTGTCTTTTTGTAATTGGATGATTTTCCTCTAGCCCTCAAGAAGAGTTTAAGTGTGGTAAATTCTCTGAGATCTTTGATTATTTATCTATAGCTTTGATACTTAATGGAGAGCTTGGATGGATATAAAATGCTTTGTCTATACCTAGTTTTCTTGATTTTTTTGAAAATATTATTCTTTGTTTTCTCTGCTCTTCATGTTGTTTTTGAGAGTTCTGATGCGAGTCTAATTGTTTTGGACTTAAAAAAAAATACTGCTTCTTTTTGCCTGGTAGTACTACACTATTTGTCTTTATCTTTGAAGGAAAATCATTTTACCAAAATTTAAATAAATTTGGCCAAGGTCACACCACTGTACTTCAGACGGAGTGACAGAGTGAGACCCTGTCTCATCAACAACAGCAAATTGATCATTCTATGTCAATGTCAAGCATCTTGTGGGTACTCTCAATATAAAGATTTTCCCTTTTTATTTAAAGAAAGCTTTTTTAAAATTATATTTTTTAAAAACAACTTCTATTTCACACTTTAAAAATATTTTTCAGAAACTCAAATTTTCTTTATATTTTCATTTTGCCTTTTTTTCTCTTTTGATAGTTTTCTTTCTGAAACATTTGTAATGCTCTTTATCTCGTGTTCATGTCTTTATTGCTTTTCTACCCCTTTAGAAATATTCCTTACTAAGGTGGCTTGTGGTTTATAGCTCCCTAATTTTTGTTTTTCAGGAATATTCTGATTTCCTTTCATACCTTTTCGGATTTTAATCAAGTCTCTTTTCATGTCATATTTTTGTCTGTTTATATTTTTAATTTTAGAACTCCTGAAACATGGTTTTTAAATATCCTCAAATATGCGATATGTATTTTATTTTGTAATATTTAAATGCAGTTTAATTTTTCTTTATAATGTTTTAGGGGAAATAATTATCAACAAGTAATGTGTTTTTACTCTAATTTCCTGTTGTAGCGGTATTATATATACTTAGTCACCTATGTGTGTGTGCATGTGTGTGCGTGCATGTGACAATTTAGAGCAACCTACCACATTCTTAGCTGAAGGGCACTCTGTTCTTCAAGTAGCAAAATACAGTCTTTTCAATGTGTGAATGTGTATGTGTCTGTTTTTCTCTCTTTCTGGGAGGAGGAGATTTGTGCCTCTGACTTTTTGATCTTTCTGTTTCTTACAAGGAGAATATCTTAATTTTTTCTGCCATTAATTTCCAAATGAAAAATCACCTTTAATTTTTGAATTCTACCTTTGAATAAGTGATGGCTTTTAAAAATACAACATCGAATTGTGCTTACCTTTCAGTCATTTCACTGTCATCAGTGATATTTTTGGTTTCTGTTTTAGGCAATGAGTTTAGAGCAATCTGACAAATGCTGCTGACTTCTTCATTCTCTCTTCTGTACATTCTGTTTATTTTTAATTCAAACTATCCTTATTTGGCACTAACCATAAATGTTTGCCATGGAAATAAGAACTCATTCGTAATTACTTTTAAAAAATTCAGTATGATTTAATTTGTATTACAGGTCAACTGAAATATGGACATTTTCCATGTGGTGGTTATAATTTCTTTAAATATCAGCTCATTGAGAGGGATTGCCTTCTCTGCCATAAACTACAGCCTGAAATGCACAGTTTCTTGGTTTCCAGTTGCAGATTCTTCAGTGTGGACATAAAGGTTCTGGATTCTTGACAGTTAAAAAGCAAATTTAGTGGAAAATAACACTGAATAGTAATACTTAATTTCCCAAACTCTCAGTCTCTTCATTCACACTAAATATGTCAGAAAGTTATCCAGCCTCTTGACTTTATAGGTCATTTCTAGGAACTCAACTAGGTTTGCCTTAAAATCCATGTTCTCTTCATTTTCACACTTATGTTTAAGGCAGCTACAGAATATTAGTTTGAACTAAATAATTATACCATGCTTCATAGGATCCATTTCAGGAATAGACACAACTGTTGGCATGTAACAACTAACAGGTGTAAAAGCATGAATTTTTTTAGAGAATAGTCTCATACCCATAAGTGTTGCTTTGTTCTTCAGTTAGTAGTTAAAACAGAATTTTTTTTTTCTTTTTTTTTGAGGTGGAATCTCTCTCTGTTGCCCAGGCTGGAGTGCAGTGGAGAAATCTCGGCTCACTGCAAGCTCCGCCTCCCAGGTTCACGCAATTCTCCTGCCTCAGCCTCCCAAGTAACTGGGACTTACAGGCGCCCGCCACCATGCCTGGCTAATTTTTTGTATTTTTGTTGTTGTTGTTGTTTCCAAAGCTTTGTGTTTGTTTTTCTTTCTTTTTCTTTTTTATTTAAATTATACTTTAAGTTTTAGGGTACATGTTCACAGCGTGCAGGTTAGTTACATATGTATACATGTGCCATGTTGGTGTTGTATTTTTAGTAGAGACGGCGTTTCACCATGTTAGCCAGGATGGTCTCGATCTCCTGACCTCGTGATCCGCCTGCCTCAGCCTCCCATAAAACAGAAAATTTTAATCATTAGTTAATAGGGGTAAACTTTTAAGTGGACATAGTTAAGAAATTTACTATATTTTTGGAAATAGAATAATATTATTTTAAAAACATAATGCTAAGATACATGAAGATATAATGCTAAGAAAAATAACTTTGGGGGACATTTACTTCATGTACATGACAATGACATGCTGACGAGATTCTTACATATAATTTAGTTAAATTATTTAAGATGAAATTTAAAAACATCCCAAATTAAAAAAGCATTAAAATGATAATAAAGGATACTATTATGAATCTAGTTAAATAACAACCAAGAGAATATTATACAAATTGAACAAAGAAGTAATCAGTCATGGACTAATCAATTTTAAGATATTGCTCCAATAACTTTTACATTTATTTGTGAAAAACTACTTGAATTATACATTATTATTTAATTGGCTTGGCAAATGGATTTGAACTCATAACTAAGAGGTATATCCCCAAATAATAGTTTCAGATCATTTATAGGTGATGCTGTATTAACACTTCACAATTGTTATGGTTCAAAAGTTTAGAAGGATGTTAATGAAATGTACAGTTGCCATCAAAGCTGGAAATATATTTTACTTCAAAAAGATAGAGCAATAATAAAATATAAGCTAAAACATTAATGTAATTGAAGACGATAAAATAACATTCGTGGGATAAAAATAACAAGAAGGAAAAAGACCTGACAATCCATTGCAAAAAAAATCGGAAAAGTGGATCTGTTTAATCATATGGGAAGCTTATGTTGAGATTAAAGGTCAGATCTAGTCAGCCTATACAATTCTTCTGTTTGATAATGACCCACCACCACACTGCCCCCCACAGCACACATACACCCCATACAGCATTCACTGTAATTGATTTCCATCTAATGTGCTAGCATTAGAACTCTGCAAGGTAAACCCTTACAGCTAGATCACATTTTCCTGAGCCTGGAAACACATATTTTCTACTCTTTTGTCACTAATCCTGTTATCTTTCACCCTTACATACATTACCTCAAGATTCCTTAAAAATGAGCATTTTTATTTTAATTGCAGCTATAATTTAGAGATTATGTAAAATGGGAAATTTGTACTAATTATGCTGTTTATGATTAGAAGGGAACATAAAACTCAATAATACACCTAAACAGAGTAGAAATAGAAAAGTTAATTGACATGCTGATGGGTGTCGGAAGCAATTTCAGAGATATGAAGTAAAATGGAAAGAATAGCATTAAAGGCAAAGTACCAGGTAGCATTGAATCCCATCACTAATCTATTAAGTTACTGAAGAGCCTCTTTTGAGAAGACACAGAACGTTATTACTGGCTAGATATCTAAACTTTAAAGGCGTAAGGAAAGGTACTGAAGAGAACAGCCTGTCTCTGGTCCAATCTTTTCAAGAAGGAGTTTTATAATCTGAAGCATATTTTGCATTTCTAATTTGGGAAACTCTTTAATACCAATGGCTTGATTACAATTTTCATATAAAATGTAATATGATATATGAATGCAGGCATGCTGTGACAAAGTGTCTTACAATGCCTGAATAATAATATTTCAGGAGTAGGCTGAGTCATTTTATGAGACAGAAATTCCACATTATTATTCTTATAAATATAAAATAAAGAAATAAAAGCCTATGGACATCTTGATTAGCATACTTCATTATTTATATATTATCATAAATGTATATTATTTTTATCAAGCTTATCATAAGAACAAATTCAAAGATCATAAGATTGCAAAAGTCAGATCATAAAAAATCCAGAGTGAACAAATAGCTATATTCAAAGGAATGGTATCATTCCTTTGTATAATAATAAGAATAATAATTCATATGATTAATTTACATGAAAAATCATAGTGAGTTGAAAAAGAACTTCCTGTCTATGTGAAATATAAATTGTGAAGTTGCTAAAGAGGAAAGGAAGAACAAAATCTGAATGAAAATTACAGAGTTAAATATATGAAAATTATGCTTAAAAACTGAACCAGTTTTGCTTTATATAAAAATAAATATTGAAAAAGATTTCTCTGTGAAGATGTCATCTATTTAGAAGTCATATGTTTTACCATTTTCATATGTCAATTAAAATACTTTAAGAAATAAAACAGAAGATAAAAACTTTATCAGAACACCCCAAACCTAGGCCATCAATTAATCTGTTGGAAATACTAAGTATACATCACTAAAAATAAATTGAAAGTTGAATCTCATGTTACATTTGACATTTGCATGCACTGTTGCAGATTATCCTTTCTAACCATTGTCTTTTATTTTTCTCGTTTACCTTATCTGGTTCCAAGACTCTGAATCCAATCATTTCTTGACTCAATCAGGATGTCCAATCTTGGATATGCCACTTTTTAGTCTTTCTGATTCTCCTCAAATCCCTGCTTTTAAAAAAATCCTGACTTAGATTCTGTTGTCCATCATTACATTGAGTCTATCAACAGCTTCTTTGTCCCTTGCTCCAAACATTCTACTAAACTGGCAAAAATCCTAACCTGATTAAATCTATTATTCCTCTCAAATTCTATCTAGGGAAAAAATAGAAAATGTTGGTTTTACTATAAGTTCCTGCCCATATAATTTCAAGTAGTCTAAAAGCCTAGAAGCTTGTGTGTATTCCTTAGTTTCTCAGCTGTTTTAATCGCCTATTTTACTCTTTAATATTTTCCCCATTCTTCTCCAACCTCCAACATCTATTCCTCCCTGCTTTATCTCAAATATTTACCTTTATTCTTATTTTCTAAAAGAGTAACAACAATCATAAAAGATTTTTTCTATATCTTCATTATTAAGCCTACAATATACCTCCATCTGCTATTCATAAAC
Organism: Homo sapiens; assembly: GCF_000001405.40. Taxonomy (NCBI): domain Eukaryota; kingdom Metazoa; phylum Chordata; class Mammalia; order Primates; family Hominidae; genus Homo; species Homo sapiens. The sequence continues at coordinate 83,653,975 of NC_000003.12, read as the reverse complement.
TTTATTTTCCTTCTATTAAAACAATGAACCTTTCCTATCTAACCAAAGACTACTCCTCAACTTTTCCCTTTTTGTGTGTGTTATCCCCATCAGTTTTAGAACATCAGTTTATAGAACATGATGTCAGCTGTATTTAATGGAAAATATTCTTTAAAACCACCTCCTCTTCCAAGACCTGTCTTGTCCCTCTGCTCACATTAGCACTAAAACTCTTCAAAATAATGATATTGACAGCTTTCTCCATTTTCCTTATTCTTATACTTTTATTAATCAATGCCCATCAGGTTTGCAGGCTACCATTTTGTTAAAATAAACAGCACATAACAATATAATTAATGATCCTCACGTGAAATTTATGATTTATTTTTATACAGTTGTTTCAGCAACATTTGATACTGTCGACATACCCCCCTTTTTTAAACTTCTTCCTTTGGATACTGAGATATCCTGAGTCTTGTGTCTCCTTTAATCTCAAATGCCTTTTCTTCTCAAACCTTTGTGTTTATTTGTACTCAACTCAATTTTTATATGTCCCCTGGATGAATGACTGGTTTTCTTCTGTATGTAGATACATATAGAAGAATGATATAGTATCTGTTATATCGTTCAGCATTATGGCATTAAATAAGCTCTAGATATGATGGTTCTTGCATTTCTATCTCCAGTGCAGACCTCTTTTGTGAACTGCAGAAAGATACTCAGTCCCCTACTCAGCATTCTATCTGGATGTTGTATTTATTTGATTAAAGACCAAGCTGTTGTAAAGAGAACATCTCAACATGTACTATTGTAAATCTATACAATTGCATTACCTACCCACATTGTAGTCTAGAGATGAGCAATCAGATTATATTCTACAAGGTCAAATAAGGCACGGTTTTCTTCTATGTTGTTTCTTCACAGTATCAGTTAAGGGTGCTTTCCCCATGTGCATGGCCAAAGCTGTGTTACTGCCCTGCCTAGATTTTAGGAGGAAAGAGTAAAAAAGATAAGAACATTCTTACTTCAATACAGGGGCGAGAATTTACACATATCCCTTCTTCATACATCTCTTTAGATATGTGGCCTCACCTGGATTGAAAAAAAACGGTAATTTAGCTAAAATAGGGTGATTCAGGGATTCTGCTATATAGGGTTAGTGTATTTGTTGATTTGAATAAAAAATTCCCACTGACAACAACCAGAAAAGCTGACCAAGATTGTTAAAATATTGATGCAAAGAATCTGAGAGTTAAGAAAGCAGCAAAGATGACAAGATTTGAGACTAACATATAAATTTATAAGGGTGAGCCTAGCATTGAGTCTGTCTTTCTTGTATGGGAATCTTTCATTTCAAAAATAAACTAATTGATCAGAGGTTAAGAATCTAGTTGAAACTTTTGAGTGTCTGGTAGGAATAGGAGGAATACAGTTAGACTGCAAATATAGAAAAATTATGAAACTGTGTACTTTGAGCAGGGAACATGAGAGGCCACAATTTAGTGGCAAAGAAAACCAAAAGTAAAGTTGATGGAGAGACTGATATGAAGCTTCAGTTACTTAAGCAGCTTCTAAGATATAAATGTAAATTCTCAAATAAAAATATTATCCAGACCTCAGGGTTTTTTTCTTTAATTTTTGTACATATATGAAAATTAATCAACCCTGCCCCCCCCCAAAAAAGGACCATATGCATTTAAAACAAAGAGAAACCACAGATAAAAGAAATTTATAGAGCAAGAAAACAGGCTCACGAGGCAGAAGCTTCAGTAGATATTATTAATATGTGTAAGACTATAAAATACTGAAAAAGCTCATAGAGGACTGGAAGCTCCTAAAGAGCAAACCAAAATTCTACAACAGAAAAATTAAAACTTGAATGAAGGTGTTTGACAGCTAATTAGAGTTCACCGAGGAGAATGTAGTAAACTTGAAAATATTACAAGAAAATAATCATACAAATTTCAAAATCACAGAATAATGAAAATACAAAAAAGAACAGAATAAATATAGGTAATATTGAAAAGAGACTTAGAGATCAAGTGTATATGGAGTTAAAGAAAGAAGAGAAGGTAAAAATACCCAAGGAGATAATGGTGAGAGTTTTCAAAAGATGATGAAAAGGACAAGGCCACAAAGCTCATGTACAGTGAAGAAACAGTGATGAGAATTAAAAAATATCCTGACCTGATAATAGTTGCATTAAAAAATATGGCTTATTGTATCTTCTAAAGATATTCTTGTAGGAAAATGTATAGCCTTAAATTCACAGATTGCAAAAATAGGCTAAAAATAATTGAAGCAATCATCCTTCCCAGAAGGTAGTAATAAAGAGCAAAATTAACCACAGAAAAGAATAGTGGAATAATGTAATAGAATAATAGAATAAAAGAAATAATAAAAACAAGGTCAGATATTAATAAAAGGGAATATAACAATAAAATAGAATAAAAAGGCCAAAAGTTGGTATATTCAAAAAACTAATAACATTAATGAGATTGGCAATTGAAAAGAGCAAGCATTGAGTAATATCAAGAAAAAAAAAAAGGTGTTACTACATATCTTCCTGATAGTGAAAAGACAGAAAAACAATATTAGAGAAAAATTGAGCCAATATCTTTGAAAATTTAGATTAAATAAACATATTATTAAAAAATAAGATTGGAACAAAATATAATAAGCCTGTTTATTATAAAATTAAATATTTAATAAAAATATTCCTTGAAGAAAATATCAGTCCCAGATGGCTTTACTGATAAATTGTACAATGAAGTAAGAATTAATTATTGTTAATGTCATGCAAATATATCCAAAGAAGTGGAAAATATAAAACTCTCCTCGATTTATGATTCCAGAGCTAACTTGATATAAAAACTTGGCAAGTATATTTTGAGAAAAGAGAATAATATGCCAGTTTCATTGATGAAAATATATTAGATAAAATGTGATATATAAAAAAGCCTCACGACAAGATTAAATTTTGATATGGTTTGGGTGTATCTCCACTCAAATCTCACCTTGAATTGTAGCTCCCATAATCCCGAAGTGTCATGGGAGGGACCAGATGGGAGGTAATTGAATCATGCGGTGATTTCCCTTATGCTATTCTTGTGATAGTGAGTAAGTTCTCAGAAGAGCTGAAGGTTTTATAACGGGCTTTCCCCATGTCTTTTATTCTTCTCCTTCCTGCCATCATGCGAGGAAGGACATGTGTTTGCTTCGCCTTCACCAAGATTGTACGTGTCCTGAGGCCTCCCTAGCCATGCTAAAGTGTGAGTCAGTTAAACCTCTTTCCTTTATAAATTATCCAGTCTCAGGTATGTCTTTATTAGCAGCTTGAGAATGAACTAACACAGATTTATGCCATAATCAAAAATATTTTAGAGGTGGGACCAAGATGGCAGACTAGAAGCTGCTGTGGTTGGAGGCTTGCACTGAGAAGAACCAAAACAGCATGCAAATCCTGCACCGGCAACTGAGGTATCCAGGTTTTATCATAAGGACTGACTAGGCAGTTAGTGTGACCCACGAAAAACAAGAAAAAGCAGGGTGGTATGTCAGTCCACCTGAGAGCCACATGGGGCAAGGGGAGCTCCCATCCCCAGCCAAGGGAGGTGGTGAGTGAGCGTGCTACTGAGACTGGGAAAAAGTGCTTTTTCCATGGATCTATGCAGCCCACAAATCAGGAGATCCCACTCATGAGCCCATACAACCAGGGCCTTTAATCCCCACCCCAGAGCCACACAGATTCTCAACAGCCACTTGGCTGGATTCTGTCTAAGGCTACAATTCTGTCTAAGGCTACCAATTGTCCAGGAGGGGCAGCCATCATTACTGCTACTGCCAGCTGCATAAGAAAACTGAGCATCTTGCGGGAGGGATGACAGCCATCACAGTGGCTGCTAGCTGCCTAAGATACTGAACTCTTGGGAGAGAAGGGCAGCACCCATCACTACAGCTCCAGGTGGCTGTTTTATTCCCTGCTGGTGCTGAAGAGACTGGACAGCTTAATCCCAAGAGGTATTCCACACAACGTAGCACACCGGCTGTGGCGGACTGTGGTCAGACTTCCTCGTCAGGCCGGACCCTAACCCAACCTTCCTCACTGGATGAGTCCTCCCTGCAGGAGCTCCAGCAAGTCCAGCCAGGGGAGTAGGGACAGAATTCTTATCTCCCTCGGCCTGAGCCCCTACGGAGAGGGGTGGCCATGATCACGGACCAGCAGACTTAGTCTTTCCCCTTGCTAGCACTGAGGAATCCAGGCAGCACAGATGAGCAGGTTTCCCCCAGTGCAGCACACCCCCTTCACCCAGGGACAGCCACAGTGCTTTCTAAAGCAGGTCCTGGATCCCATGCCCCCGGAATGAGTGAGACGCCCTATCAGGGGTCACCAGACACCTTATACAGGAGAGTTCCTACTGCCATTGGGTCAATGCCCCTGGAGGACAGAGATCCCAGAGGATGAAGGAGGCACCCATCTTTGCTGTTCTTCAGCCTCCTCAGGGGACGTCCCCAGGTGCAGGAGGGACACAGATGAATAGAGCCTGAAGGGAACCCCCAGCAAACTGCAGCAGGCTTAGAGAAGATGGATCTGACTGTTGAAAAACAAACAAATAAACAAACAGAAAGCAACAACAACAGCAACAACAAAGTCCCTAGAAAAACCCTATCCAAAGGTCAGCAGCTTCAAAGATTGAAACAAGACAAACTCATGAACTTGAGAAAGAATCAATGAAAAAAATGCTCAAACCACAAAAGGCCAGAGTGCCTCTTCCCTTTCAAATGATCACACCACCTCTCCAGCAAGGGTACAGAACTGAAAGGAGGATGAGAGAGACAAATTGACAGAAGTAGGCTTCAGAAGATGGGTAATAACAAACTTTTCTAAGATAAAGGAGCATGTTCTAACCCAATGCAAACAAGCTAAGAACCATGATAAAAGGTTACAGGAGCTGCTAACTAGAAATAACTGGCTTAGAGAGGAACATAAATGACATGATGGAGCTGAAAAACACAGCATGACAACTTTGTGATGCAAACACTAGTGTCAATAGGTGAATCAATAAAGCAGAAGAATGAATATTAGAACTGGAAGACAGTCTTGCTGAAATAAGATAGGCAAACAAGATTAGAGAAAAAAGAATTAAAAGGATCAAACAAAATCTCCAAGAACTATGGGACTATGTAAAAAGACTGAATTTACGACTGATCGGAGTACCTGAAAAAGATAGGGAGAGTAAAATCAAGTTGGAATACAGACTTCAGGCTATCATCCAGGAGAAGTTCCTCAAGCTAGAAAGACAGAACAACATTCAAATTCAGGAAATCTAGATAACCCTAGTAAGGTGCTCCACAAGAAGATCAACCCAAAGACACGTAATCATCAGCTTCTCTAAGGTCGACATGAAGGAAAAAAAATGTTAAGATCAGCCAGAGAGAAAGGCCAGGTTACCTACAAAGGGAAGCTATTCAGACTAACAGTGGACCTCTCAGCAGAAACCTTACAAGCCAGAAGAGAGTGGGGGCCAATATTCAGCATTCTTAAAGAAAAGAATTTCCAACCAAGCACTGCATATCCAGACAAACTAAGCTTCATAAGGAGAGGAGATATAAAATCCTTTTCAGACAAGCAAATGCTGAGGGAATCTGTCACCACCAGTGCTGCCTTGCAACAGATCAGAAGAAAACACTAAATATGGAAAGAAAAAACTGGTACTAACCATGGCAAAAACACACTGAAGTACAAAGACCAACGACACTATGAAGAAACTGCATCAACTAGTGTGCAAAATAACCAGATAGCATGATTTCAGGATAAAATACACACATAACCTTAAATGTAAATGGGCTGAATGCCCTAATTAAAAAACACAGAGTGGCAAGTTGGATAAAGAGTCAGGGCCCATTGGTGTGCTATATTCAAGAAACCCATCTTGCATGCAAAGACACACATAAGCTCAAAATAAAGGGATGGAGGAAGATCTACCAAGCAAATGGAAAGCAGAAAAAAGCAGAGTTTGCAATCCTACTTTCTGGCAAAACAGACTTTAAACCAACAAAGATCAAGAAAGACAAAGAAAGGCAATCCATAATGGTAAAGGGATGAATTCAGCAAGAAGAGCTAACACTCCTAAATATATATGCACCCAATACTGAAGCACCAGATTCGAGACCTACAAAGACAGTTAGACTCCCACACAATAATAGAGGGAGATTTTAACATCCCACTGTCAATATTAGACAAATTGTCAAGACAGAAAATTAACACGGATATTCAGGACTTGAACTCAGCTCTGGATCTAGTGGAACTGAGATATATACAGAACACAACAACATATGCTGCCCCAAAACAACAACATATACTGCCTTCTCAGTGACATATGGCAGTTACTCTAAAATTATTCACATAATTAGAAGTAATACAATCCTCAAGAAGTATAAAAGAACCAAAATCATAACAAACAGTCTCTCAAACCACAGTGCAATCAAAATAGAACTCAAGTTTAAGAAACTCACTTAAAACCACACAGTTACAAGGAAATTGAATAACTTGCTTGTAAATGACTCCTGGGTAAATAATGAAATTAAGGCAGAAACCAAGAAGTTCTTTGAAACCAATGAGAACAAAGAGACAAGGTACCAGAATCTCTGGGAGACAGCTAAAGCAGTGTTAAGAGGAAAATTTATAGCACTGAATACCCACATAAGAAAGCTAGAAAAATCTCAAATTGACACGCTAACATTGCAACAAAAAGAACAGGAGAAGCGAGAGCAAACAAATCCAAAAGCTAGCGGAAGACAAGAAATAACACAGATGAGGGCAGAACTGAAGGAGATGGAGACATGAAAAAGCCTTCAAAAAAAATCAATGAATCCATGAGCTGGTTTTTTGAAAAAAAATAAAAAATAAAAAAATAAATAGACCACTACCTAGACTAATAAAGAAGAAAAGAGAAGAATCAAATAGACACAATAAAAAATGATAAAGGGAATATCACTACTGACCCCACAGAAATATAAATAACCATAAGAGAATACTATAAACACCTCTACACAAATAAACTAGAAAATCTAGAAGAAATGGATAAATTCCTGGATGCATACACCCTCCCAAGACTAAACCAGGAAGAAGTTGAATCCCTGAATAGACCAATAACAAGTCCTGAAATTGTGGCAGTAATAAATGGCCCACCAACCAAAGAAAAGCCCAGGACCAGACAGATTTACAACAACATTTTACCAGAGGTACAAAGAGGAATTAGTACCATTTTTCTGAAACTATTCCAAAGAATTGAAAAGAAGAGACTTATACTTAGCTCATTTTGTGAGGCCAGTATCATCTTGAATACCAAAACCTGGCAGTGACATAACTAGAAAACAAAACTTCAGGCCAATATCCCTGATGAACGTTGATGCGAAAATTCAAGTCTTTGAATTTGAGTTTACCTATATGGGGAAAGCCTTGCGATCCTATTACTAGTTAATATAAATCATTGGACAAATTAGATTTCTCCAATAATTGTGCGATTAGCAAAGCTAAGAAATATTTGTTCTTATATTTTCATGCTTTTATGTATGATATGAGAATACATTTGGTTTTAAGTAAGGGGATGATATATCACCATCTAAACAG